>NC_000004.12:79527441-79678956 GCF_000001405.40 Homo sapiens
TCGATTTTCAGACTGTCAGTGAGGAACTTCATAGAAGGAGGTAGTGTAGGTGGGTTTCTTGTCAAACTGAATTTGAACTTTGATTTTTTATGAAGTGAAAAATACTAATAATTGTCCACAAAATATTGCCGACTTTAAGTATTTTTGTCCTTATCTTGTTTATTAAGCAGGGATGAGCACAAGTCAAATGAGCAGAGCCTGGAGAAAATTAAAATCAAGAATTCTCACTCCAAGTCACAAAGTACAATCATGATGTGTGACCGGGGTCTTGAGAGCATTAATTTCCCATTCCCTTGACAATGAACTCTCCTAATGTATGTATTAAAGACATAGGATATAGTACTTATTATCAGCATATCATAAATCTTCCATTAAAATAATACAAATAAAGCACTGTGCCTAGGCCACTGGAAATAAAACTGTTGCATAATTGACAGGCTGTAAGTATTTTTTTAAATCAAGTAATAGAAAATTTTGTTGCCTTCCACAGTCTAAATCTCAGAACTATCTAGTTACTTGCTCGGTTTCACTTATTTTATTTCAATGTGAATATTGAAATGTTTGTCTCAGTCTACCAAAATATAAATAATCAAATTTATATTAAATTGTGTATTTTATTTCCTGATACAAAACAAAGACTTTTTTATGATGGTGTAGGGTGTCTGGACCCAGGGAAAGTAGGCTTTGTATGGTCTGGTGGCTGAAGAACTAGACGCACAAAGGGAGAATCTTGGCCTTTGCAGAACAGCAGGTCTGGACAGCTTAGTTCACTGCACAGCCAACTCAGAAGCCCTTCCGGAGCAAATCTGGCCCAGAAGGCTGCACATATTTTTGCCTGGATAGACTTCTTCATGTTCAACAGGAGCCTCTGCAGCGATGATGGGGTCCTCCATATTGCTCACACAAAGCTACAGTATGGGACAGGAAATCTGGCTCTTTAACCCTCTGGCTGCTGCACATGACTATTTGGCTAGCAAAGCAGAAAAATGTCGACAGCCTAAGGTTTAAATGATTAGTAACAGGTTTTTGAGTGATTTTCCCAGAATGTGCTAGCATAAATAGAGGACTGTGAAACTGTGGTTTGTGGTATTTTTTTTCTTCCTTTTGATATTGTGGCTTGTTTGTTTCCATTTCTTTTCATGACACATTCCTTTTTATGACTGTACACCCACGCCAAATATCCAAATGCAGGCTTGAAAGGGAAGGTGCTCACCTCAAAGCACTTCCTGATTAGGAATCAGGTGTCTACATCCAGAATGCTGATAGGCTTTTTAACTCTCCAAAAATTGATCCATTGTGGTGAGTTATTTTGGCTTATACCCTAGATTTTGTTTATAGGCTGGAAGAGACAGACACGACTATTAGTACATTATTACTTACTGCAATATTTGAGAATTTTCTTTTTAATGAGTACATAGACCACTTATTAACAATGTGATGCCTTACTTAAGAAGCAATACAGTGCTTTCTTTTTAAATTTTTAAATGTTTCTTTTCTATATTTACTATTATTATATTTTAAAAAACATGAAACTGACAAATAGATTCATATCCTGGGTGGTTTGATAAATGTTACTTATACATTGTAATAGAGAGATTAAAAATATGACATTTAATGAGTAGAAATGGCACCAAATAATGCAAAGCTTTGAGCGTAGTTTATTGAGATAAGTCATATTATATCAACTTCAGCAAACACGGGTTTCTTAAAATGAATAATGACAATCCTCTGTTGGGAAAACCGTTCTGTTCAGTAACAAAGCACAGGTTTTGAAATCAAGAGCATTGTTTTGAAAATATTTGCAGGAGCCAGTCATTAGCTCCTATATGTGTTATGATATGGATACAGGGCATACCTTATGATTTTCTATGTCTCAGTATGCATTTTTTGGTTAAAATAAGATTTTCTACTTTTTAGTATGAAAGAAAACTGAAGCATCCGAATATGGGAAACCTCCAGGACTTACATAAGTGAATGAAAGAAACCAGCAGGCCTCTGATTTGTATTTGTCACTATTCTTATCTAGTTGGCATTTTATGTTGGTAATCACCACAAGTTTTCTTGTAAAAGCCATGTAAAAAGTACCATATTTAAACAAGAAAGGACAGAAGAAAAAATAGTGCGTTTTCTTAGCACTTATACAGGTGCTGCTTTTCCCAACTTAGGAAAAAAAAACCTCTTTCTAGCCTTTAGAAAGACTATGCATTTCACTGAACACAAAGCCCAATCTCCCACTGCCCCTTTACACATAATCTTCTTGAGAGACAAAATCAGTTCTCTGACTTCACTTTCTCACACGTATTCCATCTGTCTTGCACCCACCACTCTACTGAAACGGTTCTTATTAAAGTCATTTATGACCTTCGGATTGCTAAATCAAACAGACATTTTGATATATCTTGTCTTATTTAATATGATCTCATCTCTTCCCTATGACATTCCATTATTCTTGATGTTTTCTTTACTTCTTTGGCTTCCTTCATACTACTCTTTGCTAGGCTTCTTAATTGATCTACTTTTCTTTGTGGGATTCTTTCCCTCCATCTATCTTTCAATTTTCACGTTTCCTCTGATTAGTCTATCTTAATCTTTTTCTCTCCTCACTTACCACACCCTGACCTGAGCTATGACACTCCTCCTCCCAATGTGCATTACAGCTCACTTGGTGAAAACCTCTGAGTTCGTTAAGATGCTTTTGGATACAAGTAACAGAAATAAAAACATGCATAAGGCATGAAACTCAAAATTTATTAGCTCACATATCTAAAACATTAAGGAGAAAGTTAACTAAAGGCTTGGTTGGATCCAGTAGTGCAAAAATATCAGCAGAACTGTTTCTTTTGTTGCTTTTTAACTTCTGTATTGTCTTCATCTGCAAACTTTACCTATACAGAAACAAAGACACCACCAGTTACTCTGGGCTTACTTATTCTAACAGCTAGTAATCCCACTGGAAAAAACATGACCACCTCTCTTCCGGCATCCTCACCAGTACCTATGTTTGTTTTCTGATTGGCCTGACTTGATTCAAGTGCCCTCCACCATCAGAGGGAGAGGCATGGTGTTTTAATAGTCAAACCAGAATCAGTAACTCAGGAAAGGGGCATTTCACAAAAGAAAGTAAAGAGTAGATTTAAAACAAAACAACACATGAAAACCTCAGTTACAACTCTCAAATCTAGAACGTTTTCCTATACCCTTATCCTAGGACCCAGACAAATGTATTGTCTTCATTTCAAAATTACATCCCCAAAACTTGAATTAGAATTCCTTCTAGTCACACCCCTAAACATATTTATCTTCTTAAGCTTTTGGTAATGCTACCACTACTTAAAATATCATCCAATGCAGAAACATAGAAGATATCTTAAACTTCTGCCTGACAATTCTATCTGCTAAATAAATACCAATGAAATACGTTACATTTGTTTTTTTCTCTCCAAATTTATTGTTACTACATTATTGCAGGTATATGTTATCTTTGAACTGAAGAATGTCCTAACTGGACTTATTTCCCTCGAATCTACTTTCCATATTGCTATTTCATTATCATTCTAATACATAAATATATTCATTTTACTTACCTGCTTTAAGCCAAATCACCCCCAGGATGAGTTATTCTCCAAACTCCTTCCCTGTCAATTCATGCTCTAAGTCAAAACTTAAGCCAAAGTAATCTAGAGTTTTCCAAATATGTCATTCTATTCTTGCTTGAGTGCCTTTGAACCCAGAATTCCTTTGTCCTAGAATAACCTTCCTCTCCTATCTTTTTAAATGCATTTATCTCATAGGATCTATTTTAGGTACCTTCAAGCTGAGTTAAAAACTCCCCCTTTTCAACCATGAACCTTGTATGCAATTTTTTTATTCCATTTATCAAAATGTATTTCTTTACATATTAACCTCTCTCTCTCAAGACTGAACTCCTGAGGGAGGAATATGTTTTATTAGACTTGTTAAGAGTTTATCTAATTCTATCCAATGACAGTCACCATGTCTGTAATATTGCATGAAAAAAAATTTACACTGAATAAATGCATGCAGGCATGAGTGAATGAATGAATACAATAACAAACTTTGATAATCTGAAATTATGAAAACAATGATTACCACCCAAAAGGCAAAGAGGAACTTCATTTTTAGAAAACATTTAAAACAAAAGCTTTAATTTCTGACATTAATGATTTCAATAATATTCATGGTTTATAATCTACATGAATGTTTCAAGCACTTCCACATTGAAAGCATCATTTGCCTTTGCATGATAGGCCAAAAGAAGTATCATTACCATCAGTACTACAGTGCTTATCAGAGGGAGAAGCTAAGGAGCAGATTGGTTGTGTGCCCATCCCAGGTTCATGAAGAGTATTGGCAGTAGCACTAGATCAAAAAAAATTTGTTTCCCTAGTCATTTAAAAGCATAAATTAGAACTATTCTCCAGAATCAATGGAGAAGGCCAGAGCATCCTATTTTAATCAATTATAAAAATTCTCCTTCTCCAATCAAAGAAAGGTATTAGTGAAATGAATGAAAGTAATTAAATCTAATTTAGTCATGCAAATGAGTTTAATTAAAAGAAATCTACCCTTTAATAACTTCAGGGGAAAATGCAGTTCCTTATGGAGTTTGAAATTTAGTTAAGCTCACAAGACACAATAGCTGAACTGATGAGACCACACTGTTGTAATCTGCTTGTGTAAATATTGACACATGTAGCATTTATTTTGTCTCACAGTGATAATACTTGCTCTAGGCTTCTGATGAAATCTGGCATTTATAATTATTAAAAGATGCTTGTTAAAAATATTCTTATCCATCATGTTAATTCTATGAATGAGATCGCTAATACATTGACCTCCAAAATAAAATATTGCCTAAACCAGAGTTTAAGAAAATGAATTTAAATTCAACGCTCATGGAGCCCCTACTCTACAGAAAACGTTGAGCCATAATTATAGCAGGAAAACCAGGGGAGGAGCAACGGGAAGGTCCCTGTCCTGAGCATGCTTACAGTCTAATGACTGCACTGTCTTCTGTCTGTAACAATTACAGACAGAATTATTCAGAATGAAACTACAAGACTTGGATGCCATAAGGAAAAAAACATAATTCCATGGGAGAACAGAAAATGGAACACTTATTTAGAATGACTGGGAAGATACAGGAAACTCTTCACCAATGAAAGCAAATGTGACCTGGCTTTAGAGATAGAGGAGATTTTACTACAAAAATACAATGATGAGGAGAAAGAGGGAGACATAAAAGACAAAACATTATAATAGGCAAAATATTATCCAAAAGAAGGAAAAGTCCATGCTTAAATGCTCTATTAGCTTGGTGGGCTACAGGAGAAAAATTTTAGAAGACAGATCCACAGCTAGTCAGAGGTCAGATTTTGGGGGATTTTAAATGCCATACTTGGTGTCAGGACCGTTATCTGTAGACATTATAGAGGTGGGAAAGGTTTTTGAACAAAGGAGTGGCGTGACTACTTGTCATTTGGAAGGAAGACTCTGATTAAGGATGAAGAAGAATTTATAACGGAGAAATAATGGAGACCAACAGACAGGTAGTTGTTGAATTATTTGAATAAGGGTACAGGATGCTGTGGTGTAAGGCAATGGCAATGAGAATACAAAAGGAGAAGCAGAGTCCCAAGACTTTAGCAACCAGTGAGCTTTAACATCGGTATCAGGGTGGACAGTGATGCTCTCAATTAAACTAGAGAGCACAGAAAGACAGGGAAGAGATACTGAATGAAGCCAATCCACAGCTGTGCATTTCAAACACAACTTCATGCCTCTCACAACCCCCTCACTCTATTCTACTTTTTCTTTTTCTTCATACTTCTATGTTTTCTTAGGTATATTGCATCTTCTTTGCTAAATATAAGCTTCAAAAGGGCAGACAATATTTTGCTCTATTGTTCACTGATGTATCTTGAAAATCTAGCATATTGTAGATGTATCTTAAATGTCTAGCACAGAATAGAGTCTAATACATAATAGATGCTTGAAAAGTATTTGCTAAAAAATGGTAAAAAGATGGTAATATTGAAATCAAGTTATCAGTAAAAAAACTAAAATTAATACATGGCTTCCAAAACCCTGAGTTATCTATCCCTGTTTACTTCTGTTTTTTCTTCTATTACTGTTGTTCAATGGTGTCCCATGCTTCAATTACACAGAATTCCCTTTAGCACCATGAAGGCCTGCTCTCTTCTGTTGTTGAATTATGTTCAAGGCCAATCACAATGTCTCTTATCTCCAGGCCTTTAAACCCATTCCTCCGTCTCCCAAGAATGTGCAAACTACTCCTACCTCCCTTATCTCTGCTCAATCATCTCCTCTTCATTCTTGAGGGATCAATCCTTTCTCTAAGGAGCTTCTCCTTTGGAGAATTGCTTGAGCCAGGGAGGTTGAGGCCGCAGTGAGCCATGGTTGCCCCACTGTACTTCAGCCTGCTGGGGGACAGAATGAGACCCTGTCTCAAAAAAAAAAAAAAGAAACTACTACCGATTCCAAATCTGGTGTGGATGTCTCTGATTTGTCCTTACACAATACTCCATCCCTCTGTCAGGGAAAATTTTTACACTATATGATCATCAATTGCCTAGTCCTTGTTTACTTCCCCATCTATCTGATTGTGTATTTATGAAGGAACACATGAGTATCTTTCACCAATGTTCCCCCAGCGGGTAGCACAGGACCCTGCAAACATGAGCACTTAATACGTTTGTATTCAAATAATAAACATGTGGAAAAAACAGAAAACAAATAATAAACATGGTGGTTCAGTTTTCAAAAGTAAACTTCAAAAATTCTGACACAGAAAAGGAATGCTTAGAATACTAATGTAGAGATATTCTAAATTAGAAGAAAATTAAAATTCATTTATGATTGTACTATTGTTTCACTTAAGTAAAATGAGAGGCTGTTAGTGATGAAGATGGAAGAATTTGGGTTTGAGAGGAAATGGAAAGTAGGTACGACTTGGGATAATTATCTAAGGAAATCAGGTAGAGAGAGGGAGCAAGAAGTGAACAAAAGACTAACATTCCCAATGAATATCAAAGGGCTTAGAAAAGTGCTAATTTGCAAAGAAATTGTCCTCTAAATGGTAAGAGAATGTAAAATTTAAAATATTACAAGTAAGTAGTTGACAAAACAAGAATAAAAATTAACAATCTATTCCATTCTTAAAAAAAAAAAGTGATATTTTGCAATGCAGAATCAGAGATCTGAGGGCTAAGAAGGGTGCTTATGTAATTACTACTTGTATCTGTGCTGGTTGTATTAATACCTTGCACTGAAGCACCCAGTGTCGGGGTGAGTGGGAGCTACAACACAGCTCATAGTCTTCTTGCCAAGCCAAACACCTGATGTGGCCCTATATCCACTAGGAAGAAGGGGCACATTTTCTTAATACTCACCATGACTTTGACTGCCTGCCCAGCCTTCCAACCATATGCCTGGCTCTCTCCAGAGAGGAAGAATTTTCCTGGTTCTCCCAAAGGCACAATATGAACTAGCCTCATTCCTTTATCGGGATGAGGAAATAGGAGGCTTAATTCAAGTTTAACATGTAAATACTAACATTTGGAATTTTAGATTCATGTTGCAAGTGCTTTAATACATTTGCCATCAAAATCAATTTTAGGAAAAGGCAATAATAGTAATCTAATGAATGTGGGATGCTACTAACATCAGCTCATCTAGGACTTCTTTAATGGAGTGATGTTGGCATAAGCCACTTCAAATTTATTTTTGAAAGAGCTGAAAACTGAATAAATGATTGCATGTGACAAATAAGAAATAAACTGATGAATAAATAAATATTATTTTTTTTTTGGTTCAAGTTGTATGGCAAATATTTTCTCTGTATTCCCTTTGTGTATGGCTATTTTCCATTAGTTCAGTATTCCTACGGCATTATTGATGAGGATTTAGTGAGAGAAATGGAATTGGGTATACTTTACCCTGGATTCTCAGTCATTCTGAGCAAACTTGTATGGGTTTCAATGTCCTCATTTTTTAAAATGAGGAGAATAATGAAAGTCTGCCATGAGACTTCAAGGTAAAAATCATAAAGCACAAGAAAACAAATTAGAATAACTGATTCATCTCATCTGGAAGGAAGGATTTTATCCTATCTATAATTACAGTCATAAGCATCCTAGAAGCTTCTATTCGTAATATCTAAGGAGTAATATTTAAATTTTATTTAATAATATTTAAATATTAAATAATTTAAACAATTAAATATTTTAATAATTTTAATAATTTAATTTAAAATAAGTTTAAATTTAAATTTGAAATTTTCATTTAAAATAATTTACATAATTAAATATTTACATAATTAAATATTTAACAATATTTTAAATTTAAATATTTAAATTTAAAATTATAACTTTGTTTAAAGGTTCCAATTATGGGACTCAGAGACAAAAGTTCTTCAAGTCTGTGTCTATTTCTTCTAGAAGAGCTAGGATACAATCTTGTTATAATAAATTATATCCACAAACACATGATCAATGGCTTGTAATGAACAGGTTTTCTTGCATACAATTCAAGTTTGCATGTGTTTTATTTTTCATTCTTCAAGGAAATGGAAAAGTGAAGAATAATGTTCTAAAGGAATGGTAATTTAAAGTGACCCCCAAATTATTAATACCTCTTCTAAGTTGAGAACTCTGTTTTTTGTCCTGATTACATGATAAAATTTTTCTATTGTCTTTTTATTTTTTTTAATTTTGAAACATTTCTTCTCATGAAATCTTCCAGGTTAGTTTGCGATTCTACCATGCTTAATTGCTCATTGCAATTTCCTGTGAGAAACAATTATTGAAAAAAGTAAGATTCTTTTTTTGCGTTCAGAGTTGTAACTACTAACTAAGCAGAAACTACAATGCTTGAGCATTCAATAGTTTAAGGTGATTATGAGCAAATCTAGGAGTCTAGAAAGTTCAACATTTACCAATAAATTTGATAGATTGTAGACATGATGAGGAAGCTAATGCAAACCATTAATATTGATATTGTAGGAGAGAAGCTCTAGAAAGTTCTTGGTTTTTTTTTTGGAAAAAGGAGAGGAATGGTGGCTGATTAATGAGAAAGCTAATGCAAATTATTAATACTGATACTGTGGAAAAGAAGCTCTAGAAAGGGTTTATTTTTTTTAAGGAAAAAGGAGAGGAATGGTGGCTGATTAGGAAGGTACATCTTTAATATTGTTTAGTTATTCTTTTATTATAAAATTCTATATTTCGTTGGTGCTGACTTTATTGAGAGTAGAACATAATAAGGAAAAGCATAATTTCTGGAGTTAACATATTGAGTTTGAATTCTGGCTGTGAAAACTTTAATAAGATATTTACATTTCTAAGCTTTTGTTTCATATGAAAAAAATGTAGATGATGTGCTAATATGTCTATCTTACAAAACGATTTTGATTACTTGTATCAAAGTAATGTGTGGTCAGTAAAACAGAAGTCATCACATGTTTTCTGGATAATAAGTGCTTAATATCAAAATTGAGACTTTCATGATTGTTGACCCTCAAACCCCCACTAGAAGTGCAAGAAGCTGCCTCCAATGTCAGGGAAGCAATCATTGAAGATCTCATATTAAAGCAACAAATAGTGTGGTTCTCATAAAACTTCTAAGAGAAGTTGCTGCAATTCTTCAGAATCTTTGAGAATATTTTATCAATTTTTCTGTCTGTAGCAACAAAGCAGGTGGCTGTCAAGGATTCATCAGGAAGTCTATGAGTCTGGGTAGATCAGCCTTTGGAGACTAAGAGCTTCTTCACCTACATTTTCCTAATTGGTTTCAGTTTCCTATAATTTACAAACTCTAACCAGGAATCTTACAGAAAGGAGGATTCTGGGAAACACATGTCCCATCTTCACTTCTGCCATTCAGGGGAGGCCTTGGAAGGAGATAATAGTGATGCCAAGTAACGTTAGACACACGTTAGACATTCTAAAGTAGGGGTCCCCAGCACCGAGGCTGCAGATCAGTACCAGTCCATGGCCTGTTAGGAACCAGGCTGCACAGCAGGAAGTGAGTGGCGGGAAAGCAAGCAAAGCTTCACCTGTATTTACAGCCGCTCCCCATCACTCACATTACTGTCCGAGCTCCGCCTCCTGTCAGATCAGCAGCAGCATTAGATTCTCATAGTGGGGGAAACCCTGCTGTGAACTGCACATGCGAGGGAACTAGGTTGCATGCTCCTTAAGAGAATCTAATGCCTGATCATCGGTCACTATCCGCCATTAACTCCAGATGGGACCGTCTAGTTGCAGGAAACAAACTCAGGACTCCCACTGATTCTATATTATGGTGAGTTGTCTAATTATTTCATTGTATATTACAATGTAATAATAATAGAAATAAAGTGCACAATAAATGTAATGCACTTGAATCATTCCAAAACCATCCCCCACCACCTGGTCCTGGAAAACTGTTTTTCACAAAATCAGTCCCTGGTACCAAAAATGTTGGGGACTGCTGTTCTAAAGCATTTAGAATAATGCTTCTTGAAAAATGAGCACTTGGTAAATATGGCATAATACTCTGTTGTATTTTGTTAGTAGTGGATTGAATTTGCATAAGAAATCTAAGTCTGTAATGTATTCATATATACACTTCTTGAATGATATCTCTCTTTGGTATCTCTGTCTCTTTTTCCCTCTTTCTCTCTTTTTCCTAAAATTGAATTTTTTTTAAAAAAACCCCACAACTTATCATGAATGAATGAATGAATGAAAGTTGGTAAATTACCTATCAGGCCAGGAAAAGTACAGTACTATAAGGTTTGATATGGGGATGATGAGTGGAGCCATTTAGCTTCTGAGTCCAGGAAGACCACGGTGGATAAAGTCCAGGCTAGGATGGACATTGCTGCCATGTAATTATCAAGGCCCCAGGAATCATGATCGAGGTCTCCTCCGACATTTCAGAAGTAAACTGCTCTCCTAGCTTCTCACCATATCTAGCCATAAGTAAATCACTTATGCTCCTACTTTGATTTTTTTAAATTTTTTTTTTTTTTTTTTTTTTTTTTTTTTTTTTTTTTTTTTTTTGAGACGGAGTCTAACTCTTTCGCCCAGGCCGGAGTGCAGTGGCGCTATCTCGGCTCACTACAAGCTCCGCCTCCTGGGTTCACGCCATTCTCCTGCCTCAGCCTCCGGAGTAGCTGGGACTACAGGCGCCCGCCACCGCGCCCGGCTAATTTTTTGTATTTTTAGTAGAGACGGGGTTTCACTGTGTTAGCCAGGATGGTCTCGATCTCCTGACCTCGTGATCCGCTCGCCTCGGCCTCCCAAAGTGCTGGGATTACAGGCGTGAGCCACTGAGCCCGGCCTATGCTGCTACTTTCAGAGGGTTGGGGTAGGGGACAATAAAGAGAACAGAAGTAAAGAATACAGATATTTTTTCTTGATTGTGGATTATTTTTAATTTTTGTAAATTTATATGTAATTTAGCTATTATAAAAAAATGGTATTACTGGTTTCTCTGGGTTTTTTTGTTCACTGCAACCTCCATCTCTCAGGCTAAAGTGATTCTCATGCCTCGTCCTTCCCAGTAGCTGGGATTACAGGTGTGGGCCACAGCACCTGGCTAATACTTTTTTTTAGTTTTTTTAGTAGAGATGGGGTTTCACCATGTTGGCCAGGCTGGTCTCAAACTCCTGACCTCAAATGATCTCCCCGCCCCCGCCTTCCAAAGTGCTGGGATTGTAAGTGTGAGCCAACATGCCCAGCCCAATTGAGAATTTTCTAAATGCACCTTTTCTCTCTTGATAAGTCTATTAACTGAAGTTTAGTTTGCCTTCTGTTTAAAGAATGTTTTAAGTTGGTAAATTACATATCATTCTCTATGATAGCTGAGCTGAGAATATTGAAATTTTGGAGATTTTTATATACTTTACTTATGTGGTTTGAGAAATAGTTTTACCCATTCTAAGAAGAGAATTTTATCCAGTATTAATAAAGAAATAAATAAAAGTATGAGACTTCCTTGTAGATGAAAAATCACTGACTTCATTCCAGTAAATTTCAGTTTTCAATCAACTTACTGTTTTCCCATTTGCATTGCTGCAGTGCCTGTGTAGCAAAGATTGCTAATAATCACCAATATCCATTTCCCTATTCTTCGTCTTCCTGGTTAAACAGCTAAACCACATTTTCTGTTCCTTTGCAGTTAAATTTGGAATGTGTAATCCAGATTTAGACAATGAATATGGTAGAAATGGTATTACTGCCAGATCTGCCCCATAAAAATCTCTCCCATATAATCTGTCATCTTCTTCCTCTTCCGATAGTTATTCAAGGGACACATTGAATTCAGAGGCATTAGGATTAAAAGAAACATGTCTCTGAATGACTGGTTGGTGTAGATTCTGCTACTGGTCCTTCCCTCCCACTTCAGCAATATCATCTGACTGTTAAATGAGTAAACAAATTGCATTATGTTTAAACCGTGATATTTCAGGCTTTATGTGTTACTTCAGCTTAGCTTAACCTAACTGGCACAGTACTAAGCATAAAACAGGTAATAGTTGGCAAAATAAATAACAAAAAAATTACCAAAGCTATCTTTTAGGTTTACAAATCTTATACTCAGTTAGTTGATTTCCATATTCCAAGAGTGAGTCATTGGATCTTAAATGCTCTGATTTGTGCAGGTGACCCAAGTCTGGATGTAAATGTGTTTTTAGGCAACTTCCACGTGGAAAGAGGTACTCATCAAGTTTAGCTGAATAGTCTTGTGATTCACAGCTTGTCTTTTGAGAAGAGTGGAGGAAATCGTGTCATTTATCATGGGTAATTCCAGTATGGCTCACACTATCAATCTCTCTGACAATCTCCTCAACAACTCGAAGACCAATCTGTGGCTGGAAACTGTCCAGGTGATAAGCATCAGGATGCTGTGGGCCAGGCCTGCTACAACACCTGCTCTAAAGTCAGATGTACCATCTGCAGTGAATGTAACCCAACTTATGAAGAGGAATCCAACAGTGTAACAATGTTACAATATGCACGTAAGAAGGGACTTAGTGATGTCCCCAGTGGGTTCACCTCTCTCTTTGAACTGAGCAATTTTATGATTATAGGAACAACTGTTTTCTTCTTTCATAACATGAGTAAAAAAGCCTGATCAACTTCTGGTGGTATAAAATATTCAGATTCTTAGTAAATAAGAAGTTTAGAGATGGAAATAAATGCTTTATGGATTTGTTGTCTCAGCTAGACACAGGCTTCGAGAATTTAGAATATTTTTCTTTAATATTCACTATCTGAAAAATAAATAAGAATGGATTTTTAGTTTTAAATGATTCAGTAGCCTTGTTTATACTATTTCTTTCTTTTTATAAAAAGTCTCTTTTGCTTCTGGTTTTAATTTATATTCTAAAAGCTTCCTCTTTCTTCTTATATAACTTGGTCTTTCTCATCAGAATGCTTGGTTAGGAAATCACCAGTTACCTCAATCTGAGTCAATCATAGTACCCTAAACCCTTACAGTGGTCCATCCAGAGATAGCCACATGACTCAAGTGGAGCCAGTTGAAGTCCTTCTCCAGATTTTTCAAATTTGACCCCCAAAGAAAGATCTTTATCTGGTTGATGAATCCATGAGAATGTAAGTCCAGGAGTTGTCAGCTGTCCTAGTTTCTGCCATCTTGAGCAATCAAGGCCAGCAATAGAGATAGTCCTGTGAAGAGAAATGGAGGGAGTTTTGTCAATACTTGAGTTCCTGATTCTTGTTTTACTTGAGGTAGGCTTCCCGCCTGCCTTTCCTATAGTATGAGTATATAAAGTATATATTTGGCTATGTAAGCCAATAAATTATTTTGTTGCTCAAATTTAAGGTGTATTTAGTATCATGAAAGCAAGAGTCTTAGTAAAACCATTGAGAGTTTTTAAATATTAACTTTGTTGCAGAATGATTTAAATACAATAAAATGCATACACTTTGCATATTTCCAATGAGTTTAACCAGTTTATATACTGATGTAACTCTTATCACAATTGAAACATAGAAGATATCTAATATCTCAAAATTCCCCTGCTCCCCTATCCTGTTATTGCCCCCAACTTTCAGCCATAGGCAACCACTGATTCACTTTCTATCACTAAAAATTAGATTTATCTCTTCTAGAGCTTCGCATAAATGAAACCATACAATAAATACTCTTGTGTTTGGTCTCTTGCTCATAGCATAATGTTTTTGGGACTCATCTCTGTTGCTCTCTATATATTGTTAGTTCATTTATTTTTATTGCTAAGTAATATTCCATTGTGTTACATACCATAATTTGTTTATCCATTTACTTGTTGATGAACATTGGATTCTTTCCATTTATTAGCTCTTCTGAGTCAAGCTGCTATGAAAATTTGTTTTTAAGTCTTTGTGAGTAAATATCTAGAAATAAAATTGCTCGGTCATACATAAATGGTTAACTTTATAAGAAATTGCTAGCCTATTTTCAAAGCAGCTGCACCATTTTACATTTCCAGTAGCAATGTATAAGAGTATTTTTCCTTATAATTGCGAACACTTTATATTGTCAGCCTTTTAAATTTTAGCCATTCTGGGGTATATTTTATTGTGGTTTTAATTTTCATATCCTGATGACTAATGATGTTCAGCCTCTTTTTATGTGCTTATTGGGCACTTTATCTTCTTTTGTAATGTGTTTATTCAAATGTTTTGCCCATTTTATTTATTTTATTTTATTGAGACGGGGTCTCACTCTATTTTCCAGGCTAGAGCGCAGTGGCACAATTACAGCTCACTGTAGCCTCAAATTCCTGGGCTCAAGTGATCCTCCTGCCTCAGCCTCCCAAGAATCTAGGACTACAGGCATGCATCACCATGCCTAGCTAGTTTTTCATTTTTTCTTGTGGAGACAAGGTCTCGCTATGTTGCCTAGGCCAGTCTCAAACTCCTGGCCTCAAGTGATCCTCCCGCCTTGGCCTCCCAAAGTGCTGGGATTGCAGGCAAGAGTCACCATGCCCAGCCCTTGCCCATTTTATAGGGTTGCTTTTCTTATTATTGTCTTTTAAGAGTTTTTTATCTGTTCTAAATATGTCTTCTGCCAAATATATATATATATATATATATATTTGACAGAAACATATATAGTTATATATATGTATTTGACAGAAGTATATATAAACTGTGAATGTTATCTTATTTTGTGACTTGCATCTTTATTTTCTTAATTATGTCTTTCAAAGAGTAGACATTTTTAATCTTAATGTGACCATTGAGTTTTTTTGTTAATAGGCTTTATTTCTTAAAACAGTTTTAAGTCCATACAAAACTGAGAAAACAGTAGAAGAGTTCCCATATACAGTACTCTCTGTCCGCACATATGCACAGCTTACCAACTGTTGACATTCCACACCAGAGTGATGCATTTGTGAAGACTGATGAACCTACATTTATACATAATTGCCACCCAAAGTTCATAGTTTATATTGGGGTTCACTCTTCTTTTTGTACATTCCATGGGTTTGAAAAAAACTTATAATGACATGTATCCATCACTAAAATATCATACAGAATAGTTTCACTACCCTAAAAACCTCTGGAGTGTGCCTATTCATCATTCCCTCCTCCCAACCCCTGGCAACCACTGATATTTTCACTGTCTCCGTAGCTTTGCCTTTTCTAGAATGTCACACAGTTGAACTCATACAATTGTATAGTCTTTTCAGATTGTCTTTTTTTCATTTACTAATATGCATTTAAGTTTCTTCCATGTCTTTACATGGAAATGGTATGATTGCTCATTTCCTTTTAACACTGAATAATACTCCATTGTCTGAATGAACCACTATTTACTTATTCATTCACTTACTGAGGGATACTTTGGTTGCTTTCAAATTTTGGCAGTTACAGATAAAGCTGCTATAAACATCTGTGTGCAAGTTTTTGTGTAAACGTAAGTTTTCAACTCATTTGAGTAAATACTAAGGAGCATGGTTGCTGGATCACAAGGTAAGCAATGGACTAGAGTTCCTGTTGCTTCACATCCTTGCCAACATTTGGTGTCATCAGTGTTTACATTTCTTTTCCATTCTAAAAGGTGTGTGGTGTCTTATTGTTTTAATATGCAATTCCTTAATGATATATGATATTGAACATCTTTCCATATACTTTGCCATCTGTATGTCTTCTTCAATAAGTTGTCTGTTAGGGTCTTTGGCCCATTTTTAATGGGGTTGTTTTCTTATTGTTGAGTTTTAAGTGTTCTTTTAATATTTTGCATAGAAATACCATAGATCTTAGTGTGTTCACATTGTGTCCTCTGACTTTACTAAAATCATTTATTATTCCTAGGAGTTTTGTTTGTTTGCTTTCAGGTTCCTTGACGTTGTCTTCCTTTCCAATCTGTATGACTTATTTCTCTTCTTGCTTTGTTAAACGTGAAACTGCTTTCAATCTAACATTGAATATGAATGGTAAGAGTGGACATCCTTCCCTTGTTTCTGATCTTAGAGGCAAAGGACTCACTCTTTCACCATCGAGTATGATATCATATCTTCTTCAGATTGTTAAAATGGTGGATTACGTTAACTAATTTTTGAATATTGAACTAGTAGTGCACAATATGGATAAACTTCACTTGCTTATAGTGTATAATGCTTTTTCTATATTGCTGAATTTGATTTTTTTTTCAAAAATTGTTGTATATGTGTTCATGAAAAAATATGTACTATCTTTGGTTTTCCTCTCAGGGTAGTGCTGACTTCATAAAATAGGCTAGTAGATGTTGGCCAGGCACGGTGGCTCACGCCTGTAATCCCAGCACTTTGGGAGGCCAAGGCAGGTGGATCACCCTAGGTCTGGAGTTCGAGACCAGCCTGACCAACATGGTGAAACCCCATCTCTACTAAAAATACAAAATTAGCCGGGCATGGTGCATGCCTGTAATCTCAGCTACTTGGGAGGCTGAGGCAGGAGAATCACTTGAACCCGGGAGGAGGAGGTTGCGGTGAGCTGAGATCGCGTCATTGCACTCCAGCCTGGGCAACAAGAGCAAAACTCTGTCTCAAAAAAAATAAAATAAAATAAAGAAGATTAGTAGGTGTTTTTCCTTCTTCTGTTTTCTGAAACACATTGTGTAGTTTTGTTATTATTTCTACTTTTTATTTTTTTATTTCCTTTCTACGTGTTTCATACAATTTACTTATAATACTCTAGGTCTAAAGATATTTGGGGGAAAGATATTAAATAAATAGGTTTATTCAGGTTATCTATGTTATCTGTTGTAGTTTGTGGTTTATGATGAACTGGTCAGTTTCATCTACATTGTTAAATTTATATGGACAGATTGGTTATAGTATTCCCTTTGTATTCTTTTAAAGTCTGATGTGTCTGTAGTGACATCCCCTGTTTTATGCCTTATATTAGTAATTTGTGTCTTCTCTGTTTTTTCTTTGTACATCAGAATTTTCTTTTTAAGTCTTGCTAGAAGTTGATCATCAAATATATTTTTCAAATTCAAAAAGAGAAGGATAAGCTATTATATTTGTCAATATATTGAATATCTACCCCTTCTTTATTCCTGATGTTCTAAGTTTCTTCTGGAACTATTTCTCTTTTGTTTAAACAAATTCCTTTAGTACTTCATTGTGAGCAGGTGTTATGGCAATACATTCTCTTATTTGTCCTTCATCTGAGTGTATCTTAATTTCAGCTAGAGAGTGATTTTACTGAATATGGAATTTTGAGTTGATAGATTTTTTCTTTTTCTCCTCTATTCTTTTTTACTTTTTCCCCCGAGACAGGGTCTTGCTCTGTCACCCAGGCTGGAGTGCAGTAGCACCGTTTGGCTCACTGTAATCTCAAATTCCCAGGCTCAAGCTATCCTCCCACCTCAGCCTCCTGAGTAGCTGGGGCTACAGGCATGTGCCACCACACCCAGCTATCTTTTTAAAAAAAAAATTTGTAGAGACAGGGTTTCACTATGTCACCCAGGCTGGTCTCAAACTCCTGAGCTCAAGTGATCCACCTGCCTTGGCCTTCCAAAGTGCTGGGATTAGAGGTGTGAGTCACCACGCCTGGCTGACACCTCTTTTCTTGCAGTTTGTTCTATTTTTCTTCTGGCTTCTGTGAGCTTTTCTTGGATCTTCAAATGCTGAGTAATTGTGGATTGTATTCTGGATACATTGCATATGATGTGAGACTCTGAGTCTTGTTTGAATTATATACAGAATGTTGATAATTTTTGTATTGGCAAGCTATTTGGATTTGTCAGTTCACCAGTTCTGACACACTTTCTGTAGGCTGTGGTTCCCTTGTCAGTTCAGTTTCAAAGCCTTTGCAGTATCATTCCGATATTAACTGTGAGATTAAATACAAACAGTAATGCCCCATTTTGACGTTTCCTTCTATGTGCACTGCCCCAGTGGCCAGTCTGGAATCTGGGCAGTGGACTATCTGTTAGTTTAATTCTCAAGGTTTTTGGTATGCTTAAGCTTAGATCCATTCATGCACAGGTGGAGAGTGAGCCCAGGCATCCATAAGCCTGGGCTTATCGATTATTTTCCTAAACTTTTCCCTCTCAGTGATTTCCATACTATGATCTCTGTGATCCAGCGCCTTCTGGGTAAAACCCACTGCCAGTTTGATATTTCAAATTCTGGTCATCTTTCTCATCTGCCTTATATTATTTACTTTTCAGAGTTCTCATCTTCACATATTCTGTCCAAGTTTCATAGCTGTATTCAGTAGAAGAGATAGGGTAAACTGTACTTACTCCATTTACCAGGTAGTTATTGTTTTGTTTATTACATGTAGATCTTCAATTCACCAATAATTGATATATGTAAAAATAAATTGTATTTCTCAATAAACAATAAGAAAATAAAATAAGAACATACCATATATAATAGCATGTTGGCTCACAGGGTATTTGTTGATTAATTTGTTTGTTTGTTTAGTTATTTATTCTCTCTCTCTCCATTAATTTTAGGCACCACGAAGGCTATGCCTAGGCCTGTTTTCCTCACTCATCCTCATAGACCCAGTGCTTAACCCAGTGCCTGATATATAGAAAGAGTTCAGTAAATGTTAGTTGAATTTGTAGATGTCTGTGAATGAAAATGTGTTTTATCATAAGAAAATACAT
Source organism: Homo sapiens (assembly GCF_000001405.40). Taxonomy (NCBI): domain Eukaryota; kingdom Metazoa; phylum Chordata; class Mammalia; order Primates; family Hominidae; genus Homo; species Homo sapiens. The sequence continues at coordinate 79,546,591 of NC_000004.12, forward strand.
ACTGAATATTGCTATTAAATAATATTAAAAAGTGCTACCATTTGATTCAAAGAAAAAGTATAATGAACAAAAAAGATACTGGAAAGACCTACACTAAAATGTTAAGAATGGTTGCCTTTGGTGGAGAAGTTGATTGCATACATATATTCTTCTTTATTTGGGCTTTCTTTGTCTTCCCACTTAACTGCACTGTGTCAGTCTTTAAATTTAAAAATGGTATAAAATAATTTGGCAGTAATCAATGATTGGCATACACAGGATAGAACTGTAAAATAGAAGTTACTTCTCCTAGGTTCAAAGTATGAATCTACCTAGTAGAATTTTTGAGTATTTAAAAAACAAGTGTATAATGAGAAGCTTTTAAAGAATGCTAAAGATCTTAGATCACAAGTGAGTGAAATAAAAATTCTAGCAAAAGGAGTATTGTGTCAAAATAAGAAACATGATTCTAATAAATAAATGATTTCTAAGTTACATGTTAGCAGAAAAAGTTGGTTGTATGAGGTCTAGTCATAGCCATGTGTGAAAAGCTGCCTGAAAGTATAGAATCATCTTGGTGAGGGTTCTAGTCTGCTGCTACCTTGTCAGTGATCTCCTTGACCCTCATTCTTGGATAAGTTTTCATGTTTCTTTTTGCTTGATTCTTGTTTTCTACAAGTTCCCTCTTGGTGGTCCACCTTGGCTAGATAGCACAATCCTCCTTTCAAATTAAATGTGAACGTTAACACCCATTTCTGATGTCCCCTTCTGTGAATACGTTAATATAATGCTAATTTTCTCTTCTATACCTCCCTCGTCCTAGAAACTGGGGCAGTAAAGCTAAGCATTTTTTTCTATTCTTCATGGGACCTACCTGATCAGAGGAGGCATATATTTTTGTTAGTTTCTTCATTGTAATACATTTATAGCATCAAGTCCCTACAGGCAAAGTCAAGCACAGCCTGTGATTTGGAAATCATTCTGTGTAATTTTTGGCTTTAGAATTAGGAAGTCCTTAATTGTCTCAAACTTAATCTGTGTGTTCTAACCTAAGCTTTTATTAGGATTAAAAGTGATACATTGATTGTATGTGCTTCACAATTTTTCCTTTTTACCCACTGGTTCAAAGTTCAAATAGAGAAAATCAGGCCCCTTTGATGTTTAACAGTATCATAGCCTGGATGTTCTTCACTGACCCTAAACATTATTTCTCTAACCTCTTTGTTCACACACATCATTTTGCCCTGCCCAACTCTATACTCTTAAATGGGCATATAACCTTCGTTCTGATTAAATATTCCATAATTTATTTTTCTAGCCTATTGAAATCAGTATCAAGTTGCTATCCAAGAATGTAATAAAGAATGTACCTCAGATAAACAAAAGCCTCTCCAGGTTGAATACTCGTGTGCAGACTGAGAGAAAGGGCTTTATTAAGTGAATGTAGGCTTTTGTACAAATGAGTTTAAATACTGAGTCACTTGACACAATTACATAGTCATTCTGGAAATGGATATTTAAGCCATGCATATTTGGGTGTGTTTTTATTAAAGCAGATTCTTCTTTATGAACAGTAAGTTGATGTTTGTGCATTTTTCATACATTCTTAAGTTATAATAGCAGCATTAAATAGTACAATAGAAAAGATTGTCCTTGATCGCAGCTCTTTGAAGATATAGACATGAAATTAAGAATCTCACATGTACTATACTTTTTCTCAAAGAGGAAAATAAAAAATATGCTTATTTGACATTGTATCAATAGTATATTATGAAGTATTAGAATGTTAAAAACATTTTTTCCTGAAGCAGTTTATAAGAAATCTTGACACCATCCCATTTGTGGACAATTTAGCAGGATTTGAGTGTGATCTTTCAATGTATTACTTTGTTTCCTAAGTTGAAATATATTGCAGTAGAAGTATGTTGTGTACAAATTAGTAAGCCTATGTGATTGCTGGGACTCAAAATGTTTAGACAGTTACAGGTACACGGTAGTCCAGAGAGGTTTCCTTGGAATCAGTGAGATCCTAGAGTTTATATGAAACCCTAGGACTTTATGAAATCCATACTAGTCTCTGAAATTATAAGCAAAAAATCAAGTGAGTGTGTCTTCATGTGTATTAATTATTCTGCAGAAAGAATATACAGTTTTCATCAGATTTTTCAAAGATATTTATAATGTGAAATTTGGCACTTTGGGGCTCAAATAAGTTGTATTTAATTGCCAGAAATAATCTGGCATTTCATTCATTAATTCATTCAGAAATAATTATTGAGTGGATACTATGTATCAGACACTGTTTTAGATACTGGAGAACCAGCAGTAGACAAAACAGTACCTGTCTTTATGAAGTTTACAGGCAAGTAGGGGGAGATAAATATGAAAGAAATTAGTAAATGTATTATGTATCTGAATATGTCAGATAGTTTTAAATGCCACAAACTGATTAATGAAAAAACAAGACCCTATAATCTTCTGCCTAAAAGAGACATACATAAGGACACCTAAGACCCAAAGTAAAAAGGTGGAAAAGGTCTATCAAGCAAATGGAAAACCAGTGAGCAGGGGTAGATACTCTTATAGAAGACAAAACAAAATTTAAGCCAACAACAGTATAAAGAAAAAAGAGAAGAACATTATATGTTGATAAAGTGTTCAATACAATAAGAAGATTTAATTATCTTAAATATATACACACCCAACACTTAACACTTAACGTTTTAAGCATCCAGATTCATAAAACAAATACTATTAGGCCTAAGAAAATAAACTGATAGCAATGCAATAATAGTTAAGGACTTCAACACCCCTCTGACAACACTAGATAGGTCAGAGAGTCAACAAAAAAACTCTGGACATAAACTGGACTCTAGGCCAAATGGAACTAATAGATACTTACAGAACATTCTACGCAAGAACAACAGAACATACATGTTTTTCATCTGCATATGGAACATTCTCCAAAATTGACCATCTGCTTAGCCATAAAGTAAATTTCAGTAAGTTCAAAAAAATCAAAATCATGTCAAATACCTTCTTAGACCACAGTGGAATAAAATTAGAAATCAATACTAAGAGGAAATCTTAAAGTTACATAAGTATATGAAAACTAAACAACTTTCTCTTGAATGACTTTTGGGTAAACAATGACATCAAGGCAGAAATAAAAAAATTTTCCAAAATGAGTGAAAATAGAGACACAACATAGCAAAATCTCTGGGATATAGCAAAAGGAGTCCTAAAAAATGTTTATAGCATTAAATGCCTACATCAAAAAGATAGAAAGATCTCGATTAACAACCTAATGTCACAACTCAAAGAAAAACAAGAACAAATCAAACTGAAAGCTAGCAGGAGAAAAGAAATAACAAAGATCAGACTAGAACCAAATGAGACTGAGACTGACAAAATGATAAAGAGGATGAACAAAACAAAAAGCTGTTTCTTTAAAGGGATAAACAAAATTGATAGACCACTAGCTAGTTTAACGATGAGGAAAAGAGAAGATTCAAATACGTACAATCAGGAATGATAAAGGCAACATTAAAATAGATACCACAGAAATGCAAAAGATTATCATAGATTACTAGGACCATCACTATAGACACAAACTAGAAAACCCAGGGGAAGTGGATAGATTCCTGCAACCATACAACCTCCCAAAATTGAACCAGGAAGAAAAAGAAATCCTTAACAGGACAATAATGTGTAATGAAAGTAATTCAGTAATAAAAAATCTTCAAACAAGTAAAGTCCCAGGATCAGATGGGTTCACAGGCACATTTTACCAGACATACAAAGAAAGGCTGCTACTAATCTTATTAAAACTATTCCAAAAAATAAAGTAGGAGGTATTCCTCTCTAACTTATTTCATGGAACCACTATTACCCTGATAACAAAATCAGACAAGAACATAACAGAAAAAGAAAACCACAGGCCAAAATTCCTGATGAGCACAAATGCAAAAGTCCTCAACAAAGTAATAGCAAACTGAATCCAACAGCACATTAAATAAATAATTCATCATGATCAAGTGGGTTTTATTCCAGGAATGCAAAGGTGGTTCAACATTCACAAATCCGTAAATGTGATTCACCACATATACAGAATTAAAAACAAAAACCATAGATCATCTCAACTGATGCAGAAAAAAAGCACTCATCTAAATCCAACATACCTTCATGATAAAACCCTCAACAAACTAGGCATTGAAGGAATGTGCCTTAATATAATAAGAGACATATATGACAAACCCACAGCTGACATCATACTGAACAGGGAAAAGTTGAAAGGATTCCTCTTAAGAATTGGAGCAAGACAAGGTTATCCCCTTTAATCATTTCTATTCAATATAGAACTGGAAGTCCTAGCCAAAGCAATTAGGTAAGAGAAAGAAATAAAAGTCATCCTATTTGGAAAAGAGGAAGTCATATTATTTCTGTTCATTGATAACAGAATCTTATTATATGTGGAAAACCCAGAAGACTCTTCCAAGACTCATAGGCTTGATAAACAACTTCAGTGAAGTTTCACAATACAAAAATCAATGTAAAAAATTAGTAGCAATTTGATACGCTAGTAACATTCAAGCTGAGAACCAAATCAAGAAGTCAATTCTTACAATAGATACAAAAATAAGTAAATAAAATACATATATATATATATTTAACTGAGGAGGTGAAAGATCTCTATAAGAGGAACTATAAAACACTCATGAAAGAAATAATAGATGATACAAATTAATGCAAAAACATCCCGTGTTTAAAAAATTAATATAGTTGAAATGATCATACTGCCCAAAGCAGTCTACAGATTTGATGCAATTTCTATTAATTGCATTCTGGCTGTTATTAAAAAGTCATGAAGCAATAGATATTGTTGTGGATGCAGAAAAAAGGGTTTGCTTATACACTTTTGGTGGGAATGTAAGTTAGTAAAACATTTATTTAAAACAGTATGGAGATTTCTCAAAAAACTAAAAATAGAACTACCCTTCAACCCAGCAGTCCCACTACTGGATATATACCCGAAGGAAAAGAAATTGGTATATAAAAAGACACCTGAGTTCGTATGTTTATCATAGCACTAATAGCAATAGCAAAGTTATAGAATCAGCTTAAGTGTACATCAATGGTTGAATGAATAAAGAAAATGTTGTATATATACACCATGGAATAATATGCAGCCATGAAAAAGAATGAAATCATGTCCTTTGCAGCAACATGGATGGAGCTGCAGGCCATTATCCTACGTGAACTAACTCCAAAACAGAAAATCAAATATCGCTCATTCTAACTTATAAGTGGGAGCTAACAACTAGGTGCACATGAACGTAATGATGGAAACAATACATGCTGGGGACTCCAAAAGCAGGCAAGGTGGGATAGACATGAGGGTTGAAAAATTGTCTGTTGGGTACAATGGTAACTATTTGGGTGATGAGTACAACAGAACTCCAAACCCCCATTATGCAAAACATCCATGTAACAAATCTGCACATATACTCCCTCAATCTAAAATAAAATAAAAATTTATAAAGTAGAAAAAATGAACTAAATAAATAAATGCCACAGTTTGAGGGTGATAAGATGGACAGGTATGCATGTGTAGTGGAAAAATGTGAGGGAGATTGCTATTTTATAAAGGGAGGTCAAGAAAACTCCCTAGTCATGTGACCTTTGAGCAAAGACCTGTAAAAAGTGAATTTTGTGGATAGATATGTGATTGATTGTATATTGACCAAGATGATCTTGACTTCCCTTCATCTTGACTTAACTTTAGACAGGTTTTTTTATGAGTATGGGCCCTTGACCTCCCTTTTCTTTGAGCATTTCCTTTAGAAATTTTGCAATCTTAAATACCTTCTCTGTTTCTTTGAAATGTAAATTTTCTACAACCAAGGAATGTCTCTCCAAAAGACCTGGAAACCTTTTCTTTTAAATGTAATAAGCTAGAAACACAGGGCCCTTATCTCCCAGTCTCTGTGAAAGGGAAGGGGGGCAATAAATGACAATTAGCAAACACAGATGGTCTATTGGCATTGACCAACCTCCTGGCTAACTTTCTCCAGTACTTTTGCACTATCTCACCTCTGAGCTTAAAATCTCTCCTACTTTTTGTTTCAACCTATCTCTCCTTTTGCAATGGACTCGATCCTTATTGCAATAATTTTGAGTAAAGTTTTTCTTTTTCTTTTTTGGAGATGGGGCCTAGCTCTGAACCCAGGCTGGAAGGCAGTGCCATGAACATGAATACTATAGCCTCAACCTCCCTCCCATCACAGCCTCCCAAGTATCTGGCACCACAGGTGAATGCCACCATGCCTGGCTAGTTTGTTTTTTCTCTTTCTTTCTGAAGAGACAGGGTCCCACTCTGTTGCCCAGGCTGCTCTTGAACTTCTGGGCTCAAGTGATACTCCCACCTCAGCCTCCCAAAGTTCTGGGACCAAATAGTTTTCCTTGCCTGATGAATCACTCCAGAGCATTTTTTTCCTTCACAGTTTAGAGTATGAGAGAAAGAGAAAAGTGAAAATGGCCCCAAGAAATTTGACTTGAGCAATTTAAAGGAAGTCGTTGTCACTGATTCGGAAAAACAAAATCGTTTTGGAAGGAAGAAGAAAATAAATGAAGTCACCTTTGCAGCTGTTACATTTGAGTTATATATTAGATATCTAAGAGGAGAGGTAAAGTGACTAGTTGAAAGTAAGAATCTGGAGTTCAAGGAAGGGTACTGAATGGAAATATGAATGTTTGCAAGTGTCAGTATAGGCATAGTATTCACATCCATAGGGTGAAATGAAAGTCAGTGGGTTTTGCCAAAAAGAGGAAAGAGGTCTAATGATTAAGCCCTGGAAAATTTCATTATTATAAGATGATAGGAGACCAGAAAAGTAAAATAACCAGGTACAGTAAATAAGATGAAAGAGGAACAAGGAGAATAGTGTCCTGGAAGCCAAATGAACAGGGTACTACAAGAAGAAGTGATCAACTGTGTGGAAGGCACAGATAGGTTGAATTAAAGATAAAAATTATGAATGCAGGACTTGATTTATCAAAATGGACATTGCAGGGACTTTGACCAGAGCTTTTCGTTGGAATGATGAGAACAAAAGCCTAATTTTGGTGGGTTCCAGAGTGAAAAAAGGAGAGGAAATGGAGACAATGAGTACACACAACTATTTTGAAGCTTTTCCATAAATGGAAGCAGAGATATGCTATAGTGGTTGAAGAGGAATATGAAGTTGAAGAGTATTTCCCTCCCTCCCTCTCTCCCTTCCTCCCTCCCTTCCTCCCTCTGTCCCTCCCTCCCTCACTCCCTCCTTCCTTCCTTCTTTCTTACCTTCCTTCCTTCCATCCTTCCTTCCTCTCTTTCTTTCACTTTCTCTCTTTCTTTTCTTTCATGCGCGTCCGTGTGAAGAAACCACCAAACAGGCTTTGTGTGAGCAATATAGCTATTTCACCTGGGTGCAGGTGGGCTGAGTCCGAAAAGAGAGTCAGCGAAGGGAGATAAGGGTGGGGCCGTTTTATAGGATTTGGGTAGGTAAAGGAAAATTACAGTCAAAGGGAGTTTGTTCTCTGGCGGGCAGGAGTGGGGGTCCCAAGGTGCTCAGTGGGGGTGCTTTTTGAGCCAGGATGAGCTAGGAAAAGGACTTTCACAAGGTAATGTCATCACTTAAGGCAAGGACCGGCCATTTTCACTTCTTTCATGGTGGAATGTCATCAGTTAAGGTGGGGCAGGGCATATTCACTTCTTTTGTGATTCTTCAGTTACTTCAGGCCATCTGGGCGTATACATGCAAGTCACAGGGGATGCGATGGCTTGGCTTGGGCTCAGAGGCCTGACATTCCTGCCTTCTTATATTAATAAGAAAAATAAAACAAAATAGTGTTGAAGTGCTGGGGCGGCGAAAATTTTTGGGGGGTGGTATGGAGAGAGAATGGGCGATGTTTCTCAGGGCTGCTTCAAGCGGGATTAGGGGCGGCGTGGGAACCTAGAGTGGGAGAGATTAAGCTGAAGGGAGGTCTTGTGGTAAGGGGTGATATTGTGGGGATGTTAGAAGAAACATTTGTCATATAGAATGATTGATGATGGCCTGGATACGGTTTTGGATGAATTGAGAAACTAAATGGAATGACAGAAGGAGAAAAACAGGTATAAAAGGTCTAAGAATTGGGATGACTCAGGATATCTGATTAGAGACTGCCTAAGGAGATTCAGCATAGTCCTGCCAGCAAAGATTATTTATTTAAGAGTTAAGAGTGGCAGTTTGGGGATAGCACCAGGAGATATCAGCTGTGATGGCTTGGAAAAACAGTGTAAACTGGCAGTGTAAACAAGAGCAGGGCATGTATGAGTAGTTGAGAATGGTGAATAGGAGTATGACTAGACAGAAGATAGTAGGGATGACAAGTTTTCTGGGGCACAGTCCAAGTTGGTCTGGTGTCTGGAATGAGACTGGGGCCTAATGAAAAGGAGCGTCTTCTATACAGGAGCTTAAATGGGCTGTACCCTGTAGCATTCTGAGGACAGGCCTGAATTCTGAGAAGGGAAAGTGATAAAAGTATTGTCCAGTCCTTTTTGGTGGCTGAGCTTGGTGAGGTGTGTTTTTAAAAGACCTTCAGTCCATTCTACTTTTCTTGAAGATGGAGGACCGTAAGGGAAATAAAGGTTTCACTGAATACTAAGAGCCTGAAAAACTGCTTGGCTGATTTGACTAATAAAGGCTCATCTGTTATCAGACTGTATAGAGGTGGGAAGGCTAAACTGAGGAATTAAGTCTAACAGAACGGAAGAAATGACTGCGGTGGCCTTCTCAGACCCTGTAGGAAAGGCCTCTACCTATCCAGTGAAAGTATCTACCTAGACTAAGAGGTATTTTAGTTATCTGACTCAGGGCATGTTGAGTAAAGCTAATTTGCCAGTCCTGGGTGGGGCAAATCCTCGAGCTTGATGTGTAGAGAAGGGAAGGGGCCTGAAGAATACCTGAGGAGTAGTAGAATAGCAGATGGAACACTGAGAAGTTATTTCCTTGAGGATAGATTTCTACTATGGAAAGGAAATGAGAGGTTCTAAGAGGCGGGCTAGTGGCTTGTGCTATAGTATAACCTGCCTTTACTGGTGTGTGGCGATTAGGCCTGGGTGGAACCGCCATCAATAAATCAAGCATGATCAGGGTGAGGAACAGAAAAGAAGGAAATTTGGGGAAATGGGGTGAATGTCAGGTGGATCAGAGGGATACAGTCATGGGGGTCAGGTGTGGTATCAGGAATAATGTGGGAGGCCGGATTGAAGTCTGGGCCAGGAACAACGGTAATTGTGGGAGACTCAACAAAGAGTGAGTACAGCTGAAGGAGCCGGGAAGCAGAAAGTATATGCATCAGGTATGAGGAAGAAAATAGATTTTGGAAGTTATGAGAACTGTAGAGAGTGAGTTGAGCATAGTTTGTGATTTTGAGGGCCTCTAAAAGTATTAAAGCAGCGGCAGCCACTGCACGCAGACATGAGGGCTAGGCTAAAACAGTAAGGTCAAGTTTGGACAGAAAGGCTACAGGGTGTGGGCCTGGCTCTTGTGTAAGAATTCTGACCGCGCTAACCATGCCTAGGAAGGAAAGGAGTTGTTGTTTTGTAGAAGGTGCTGGGGTTTGAGGGGTCAGTCAGACACGATTGGCAGGGAGAGCACGTGTGTTTTTATGAGAATTATGCCAAGATAGGTAACAGTTGAGGAAGAAATTTGGGCTTGATTGAAGTAATGGGGGCTGTCTGTGAAGCTTTGCGGCAGTACAGCCTAGGTAATTTGCTGAGCTTGATGGGTGTCAGGGTCAGTCCAAGTGAAAGCGAAGAGAGGCTGGGATTAAGGGTGCAAAGGAATAGTAAAGAAAGCATGTTTGAGATCCAGAACAGAATAATGGGTTGTAGAGGCAGGTATTGAGGATAGGAGAGTATATGGGTTTGGCACCACGGGGTGGATAGGCAAAACAATTTGGTTGATAAGGCGCAGATCCTGAACTAACTTGTAAGGCTTCTCTGGTTTTAGGACAGGTAAAATGGGGGAATTGTAGGGAGAGTTTATAGGCTTTAAAAGGCCATGCTGTAGCAGGCGAGTGATAACAGGCTTTAATCTTTTTAAAGTGTGCTGCGGGATGGGATATTGGCGTTGAGTGGGGTAAGGGTGATTAGGTTTTAATGAGATGGTAAGGGGTGCATGATTGGTCGCCAAGGAGGGAGTAGAGGTATCTTATACTTGTGGGTTAAGGTGGGGGGATACAAGAGGAGAACGCAAAGGAGGCTTTGGATTGGGAAGAAGGGCGGCAATGAGATATAGCTGTAGTCCAGGAATAGTCAGGGAAGCAGGTAATTTAGTTAAAGTGTCTCAGCCTAATAAGAAAACTGGGCAGGTGGGGATAACTAAAAAGGAGTGCTTAAAAGAGTATTGTCTAAGTTGGCACCAGAGTTGGGGAGTTTTAAGAGGTTTAGAAGCCTGGCCATCAATACCCACAACAGTTATGGAGGCAAGGGAAACAGGCCCTTGAAAAGAAGGTAATGTGGAGTGAGTAGCCTCCGTATTGATTAAGAAGGGGATGGGCTTACCTTCCACTGTGAGAGTTACCCGAAGCTTGGCGTCCGTGATGGTCTAGGGGGCTTCCGAGGCTATCGGGCAGTGTCAGTCTTCAGCCGCTAAGCCGAGAAGATCTGAGAAGGAGTCAGTCAGAGAGCCTTGGGCCAGAGTTACAGGGGCTCTGGGAGTGGCTGCCAGGTGAGTTGAACAGTCCGATTTTCGGTGGGGTCCCACAGAGCTGGGACGTGGCTTAGGAAGAATCCCGGGCTGCGGGCATTCCTTGGCCCAGTGGCCAGATTTCTGGCATGTGTAGCAAGCTCCTGTGGGAGGAGGTTCTGGAGGAACGCCTGGCCACTGCGGTTCAGGCGTTTTGAAGTTCTTGTGTGCTGGAGATGTGGCTGGGGTTTGTCTCACAGTGGAGGCAAGGAATTGCAACTTTTTTCTATTATTGTATGCCTGAAGGCGAGGTTAATTAAATCCTGTTGTGGGGTTTGAGGGCCGGAATTTAATTTTTGGAGTTTTATTTAATGTTGGGAGCAGATTGGGTAATAAAATGTATTTTGAGAATAAGACGGCCTTTTGAACTTTTAGGGTCTAGGGCTGTGAAGCGTCTCAGGGTTGCTGCCAAACAAGTCATGAACTGGGCTGGATTTTTATATTTGATGAAAAAGAGCCTAAACGCTTCTGATTTGGGATAAGGAAAAAGGAGCATTAACCTTGACTCTATGCCTTTAGCTCCAGCCACCTTTTTAAGAGTAAATTGCTGGGCAGGAGGGGGAGGGCTAGTCACGGAACGAAACTGTAATCCGGACCAGGTGTGAGGAGGGGAGGTGATAAAAGGATTATAGGGTGGAGGAGCAGAGGCTGAGGAAGAATTGGGACCTAGCTCGGCCTGGCGAGGAGCAGCCTGGGGAGGAAGGGAGAGGTCAGATGGGTCTGTAGAAAAGGAAGATTAGAAAGACTCAACGACGCTTGGGGTTGGTACTGAGGGGACAGGTGGGAGGGAAAGAAGGAAGATTTGGGACGAGTTGCACTGGGCACAGAGACTAGGAAGGGACTGATGTGTAAAAGAATGCCTGGACGTCAGCCACCTCAGACCGTTTGCCTATTTTATGACAAGAATTATTTAGATCTTGCAGGATGGAAAAATTCAAAGTGCCATTTTCTGGCTATTTGGAACTACTGTCGAGTTTGTATTGGGGTCAAGTGGCATTGCAGAAGAAAATAAGGCATTTAAGTTTTAGGTCAGGTGTGAGTTGAAGAGGTTTTAAGTTTTTGAGAACACAGGCCAAGGGAGTAGGAGGAGGAATGGAGGGTGGAAGGTTGCCCATAGTGAAGGAAGCAAGCCTAGAGAAAAGAGAGTAGAGAAACAGAGGGAAGGGGTTCGGGGGATCTTACCTTCCAGAAAAGTGGGGAAAGGGGTTGGGGCACAGAGATAAGAGGTCGGGGCATGGAAATAAGGGATTGGGGTGCAGAGATACGAGGTTGGGGCGTGGAAATAAGGGATTGGGGCACAGAGATAAGAGGTCGGGGTGCGGAAATAAGGGATTGGGGCACAGAGATAAGAGGTTGGGGCGTGGAAATAAGGGATTGGGGGTTCTTGCCCCCTAGAAAAGCAGGACTTGCTGCTAAGGGTGAAGGAGAAGGGGTTGGGGTACTTGCCCCTGCCCCAGGAAAGCGGGACTTGCCACTAAGGGTGAAGGACCAAGGCAGGCGTCCCTGCGTGGTCTGACACCCTTGAAACGTCAGTGTATAATCAGAGAGGCGTCCCTGCAATTATTAAACACCAAGGGAAGGCTGCCTTCCCAGTCCGTGACCAGCGCCGGAGTTTTGGGTCCATGGATAAAACGTGTCTCCTTTGTCTCTATCAGAAAATGAAAGTTATTGAAATTAAGAGAAGAGAGAGATTAAAGAGTGGAAAGGAGAAAGTGGTTGAGGGACAGTGAGAGAGGTTGGAGAAGAGAGTAAGAAGAGGCCGCTTACCTGATTTAAAATTGGTGAGATGTTCCTTGGGCTGGTCAGTCTGAGGACCTGAGGTCATAGGTGGATCTTTCTCACGGAGCAAAGAACAGGAGTACAGGGGATTGAGCTCCCAAGGGAGGTCCCCTGATCCGAGTCACGGCACCAAATTTCATGCGCATCCGTGTGAAGAGACCACCAAACAGGCTTTGTGTGAGCAACATGGCTGTTTATTTCACCTGGGTGCAGGCGGGCTGAGTCTGAAAAGAGAGTCAGTGAAGGGAGATAGGGGTGGGGCCGTTTTATAGGATTTGGGTAGGTAAAGGAAAATTACAGTCAAAGGGGGTTTGTTCTCTGGCAGGCAGGAGTGGGGGTCGCAAGATGCTCAGTGGGGGAGCTTTTTGAGCCAGGATGAGCTAGGAAAAGGACTTTCACAAGGTAATGTCATCACTTAAGGCAAGGACCAGTCATTTACACTTCTTTTGTGGTGGAATGTCATCAGTTAAGGTGGGGCAGGGCATATTCACTTCTTTTGTGATTCTTCAGTTACTTCAGGCCATCAGGGCATATACCGGCAAGTCACAGGGGATGTGATGGCTTGGCTTGGGCTCAGAGGCCTGACTCTCTCTTGATATAAAATATTATAGTATGTTTGTGTGCTGATGGGGGATTTAGTAAAATGAGGGATTTAATGTGATTAGAGAATAATTTATGTCTATTAAAGGAGGAGTTCATCCTAAAGAAAGTCATGGGCTGTACGTGGTGGCTCACGCCTGTAATCCCTGCACTTTGGAAGGCTGAGGCAGGCAGATCACCTGAGGTCAAGAGTTTGAGACTAGCCTGGCCAACATGATGAAACCCCATCTCTACTAAAAATACAAAAAATTAGCTGGGTGTGGTGGCATGCACCTGGAATCCCACCTACTTGGGAGGCTGAGGCAGAAGAATCACTTGAACCTGGGAGGCGGAGGTTGCAGTGAGCCAAAATCATGCCAGTGCACTCCAACCAGAACAAGAGCGAAACTCCATCTCAAAAAAATAAATAGGTAAATAATAAATAAGTCATGGACAGTTTATTCTTGCTGAGAAGCAACAAGGCAGAGTATATTAGCTGTATTTGGGTTGGTTGGTAAATGTAATGTTGGAAATATACAGAAATGAAGTTTCTCAGAAACGTAAGACACATAATCCTCAATTGAGTTTGAGGGAGTCAGAGAAACTATTACAGGTTTGAGGAGATTAAAGTATGTATGAGGTAATTATCACATTTAGCTGTTGAGATGCAAGATTGAGTAGATTAATCAAGATTGGGATTCTGCCAAGTGGGCACAATAAAGGGAGTAGGCAGGGCAGTTGAGGCTTAATATTATATACAAGAAAGTGATTTTAGTAGTGGGCCATTAATACCAACTAATTAAGGAAGGAAGTAAAAACAAAAGGAGGGATGAGAAATAATAAAAAGTTGGTAAGACAACTAACTAACCCTAGATCCAGTGGGAATGAAGGACTGTATGAGCTAGAATGCGCAAAGGTAGGGGTTGGAATGATAGGGGTGGTGATCACAGAGTGGCAGGTTTGGAACTGAGAGAACGGAAGGGTACATTTCTTGGTATCAAGAAGATATAAGTTGTGTCTATGGGGACATACTGCTGAGGTAGGGTAGGCAACAGACTATTAGAGGGGAGAAGGTCAAGAAGCTAAAAAGGCTTTGTATTTTGAATTCCCTCATATCCTTATTCAGAAGTCATCTTCTTAGTGATACTTTTTCTGACCATTCTTAAAATTTCAAAGCCCCATCACCCCACCCCCAAACATATACATTACATAGCTATGTTTCTTGGTTTATCTTTTTCTTCTTCTCAGCCCTTATCATGATCTGAAATACTATATATTTTTACTTTTTGGTTTTATTTATTATCTATCTCCTCCACTTGAATGCCATTTCCTTAAAAGCAGTGATTTTTTTTTTTGCTTTCCTGCTCTATCTCCCACCTTGAAATTAGGGCCTGACAAATTTGAGGCACTCAACAAATATTTGACTTATAAATGAAGGGACAAGTTATTGAAAAGATTGTTTTTATGAATCTTAAAATAATCAAAGATTGTAGAGCTGCAATATTTAAGAGAAATGACCGTGAATAGGGGACTAAAATTTTTACAGAATGAAGGCAAGTGGACCAAGGTGCTGCAAATCTATTAGGAAGGATAGGAGTGATATATTCTGATTGTATAAGCTTAAAATCCAGGGATTTCAGGGAGTAGGGGAAGACAGTAATCTGAAAGTAGCTATAAGAAGCAAGGAAGACATCTGCCATACCTCCATGGTCATGGTGACAAAAAAAAGTGAAGGAGACAATGCTCTGATGAAAATAATGTCTTAGGGAAAGAGGCAAGTTTCAGATAGAGTCAGAAGGAAAAAAGAACAATAAAAGAAAAAATATATAAGCAAATACAATCATCCCGCAGTATCTATTTTGTGAGAATATTACTATTTTTCCTTCGTAGAGCAATTTAGAAAGCATAAAATGATTTGACTTTTGCAAAAAAATGTAGAAGAGAAAAACAGGACTCAGTGAGGTTTAATTAATTGCCCAATATTCCCTGACTAGAAAATGGTAGGCTCAAGACTTTATGCTCTTTTCATTACATCTAAACCGGGAAGCAGATACAGTAGGTGCTGTGCTAATTTAGGTATAAATATAGTTTCTTGGAAGTCTTGGATTAGGAGGTAGTAAAATTAAATAAAGCATGGTATGATGGTTAATATTGAGTGTCAACTTGATTTAATTGAAGGATGCAAAGTAGTGTTCCTGGGTGTGTCTGTAAGGGTGTTACCAAAGGAGATAAACATTTGAGTCAGTGAACTGGGAGAGGCAGACCCACCCTCAGTGTGGGTGGTCACCATCTAATCATCTGCCATTGTGGCTAGAATAAAGCAGGCAGAAAAATGTGGAAGGAGCTGACTTGCTGAGTCTTCTGGTCTTCATCTTTCACCTACACTGGATGCTTCCTGCCCTCGAACATCAGACTCCAAGTTCTTCAACTTTTGGACTCTTGGAGTTACACCAGTAGTTTGCCAGGGGCTCTCGGGCCTTTGGCCATAGACTGAAGGCTGCACAGTTGGCTTCCCTGCTCTTGAGGTTTGGGACTCGGACTGGCTTCCTTGCTCCTCAGTTTGTAGATGGCCTATCGTGGGACTTCACTTTGTGATTGTGTGAGTCATTTCTTAATAAACTCCCCTTCATATATACATATATCCTATTAATTCTGTTCCCTTAAGAGAACCCTGACTAGTACGCATGGGTTGTGAAGCTGGCTAATATTAAGATGAGTCAAATGGGGAGATTTTTTTCAGGGATAAAATTGCTCTGTGTTTGAAAGTAAAAATTCCAAGTTTTAGACTTTTTTCTTTTTTTTTTCTGGAATGGATTGGTACCTCTCTGGTGTCCCCAGAACACTTGGCTAAAGGTACAGGAGAGTAGGAGCTGCCCAACCTCCTCTTTGTATTTCATCTCTCCTTTCCTAGGGCAGAGGAAAGGGATAGTAATATCACATCTTCACCCCTTACATTCTTCCTTAGAATTTGGACATTTCCCCTCATGCCTAGAAATGCCAAGGATTTACACTCACAGTCCCTTAAAATTAAGATTTTTACCTTTGCCTGTTTATTTACAACATGCTTAGACATTTGCTATAGCATCTCATTAACTAATATATGAGAGGGATATATGTAGAAGTTATTTTTTTTTATTTTGAGTTTCCAATTTTGTTAAAGGGAATAGTTATAATTATTCTATGTACTTATATAAATGTTATATATAATTTTATAGATAATAGGCTTAATTAAACAAGGTTATTTATGCTTTAATGATAGAGTTTTTTCTCTTTTCTGCCCTGCATTGGCTTGTGAAATTATGCAATGTTACCTTCCATGCTTTAAATTTTGCAAACACTGTTCATCTCACAGAATTAGTTAAAGTCTTTCCAGATGTGGATTTGATTAATAGAAGCTTACTAACTGTGGCTAATTACTGATAATGATAGTATCACAAGGCAACTTCCTCTCCAAAGTCACCTTGGTCTTTCTTCATTGCTAGAATAGAAAGAAACCCCACAGCCATACCTCCCCCAATCAAAATGAAAACAGAATAATATTTAAACTTTAATTTGGGTGGTAATTAATACAGCTGATATAATACTAGGCTTTTAGTATAAAACAAATGATCATTTATAGATATGTGAGAACTTCAGCCCTCCAGACTGGTTTCACAGTGTGGATAGATGAGTCACGCTGAACTAGTGTCTGGATATTCAGAGTGATGGGCAATGACCTATTCTTCTTTATCTCCTTTGAACCAGATTTCCATTTTAATTGTTTCTATCACCTAGAAACAGAGGAACAGAACCAGTGTGGTAATGATCCAAGCTGAAATGAATGTGTCTTTCCCTGTCCTACTCATTTTCTAAAGAGGTAAAGCCCTCTAGTATTGTTGACTGTTCCTCCTGGCTTCCCTCTTCCAAAGCCATATACTGCTTCTCAGTAAAGTGCCATCAAAAGTGAATTTCTCTAAAGATATGAAAATAGACAATAATTAATTGAATAACAACTTGGAGATGCCTTATTTATCGTCTATTAGAATAGATAACAAAACAATATAGACAAAGACAATAAGATTTAAAAAGAAGTTGAGTTAATATCCCACACTGCCTCTTGTACAGATTTTTTAATATAGCAGAAATTCATGCATATGTGTAAGAGTCCATTGGTCAAATTGCATTCTGACCAAGTGGACGTATGAGAAAGCATTAAAAATCATGGTCATCCAATTCTTCTTTGTCTGTTTGAGTCATTTCAATCAGTCTAAGAAATGTTTTGTATTATGAAATTATGAAAATGTAAGAAATAGTGTTCAAGTTTCTTTTGATACACTGGAATGGAAAACAGAATGACTATCTGCAGAAGAGCTAGAGAAACAAGGCAGTGGAAGATCTTGGAAGAGTGAGTGCTTTGCAATAAACAGAGATGATCTTTAAAAACAATATATAAATCCTGTATTTGTGCCCATTTTGTGATGATTTCTTTTGTAAGGATATTATGATTATTAAGAAGCAAAAGATGATGATGCCAACATCTTGAAACAAATCATTTAATTTGGACAGATTCTATATTATATCTTGCTATTCATATAGCTTATAACATTCATTCAGTTTATTTTAGTAAAGTGATCTTGTAGATTTGCATATGGGGTGCTATAGAGGAGGTTCTGGAAGGGCAAAGAGAAGAAGGAATGTTTTGGGTTTATCAGAGTGCTAAGCTGTAAGAATAGCACCAATGAATTGAGCAAAAAGCAAACATGGGCGACAAGCCACATATTTTATACTTTATTCTTGTAAAATTGACAGCAGTAATGCTGATATTAGTAAATACCAACATTAGATTGCAGAAGTATAAAATTGTTAATTGAGTTTCACAAAATTCAGAGCATTATATTATGAAATATTTATGTTGTAGAGTGTAACCTATATATTTTAAGCCTCATCATCCTAAAAGTATAATACAAGAAACAATTTTTAAAATACATATGATTATGGCATTACTCCCCTTTAAGCTTTATTGCCAGAAATTAGATTGCCAATATATGCCCAGTTATCTGGGGGTTAGGGAGATTTCCCAGTGTGCTTATTCATGGAAACTCTTTATATTGGGTTCTCTTGCCTTTTATTGCTGTGTTTTGCTGCTGCCTTTGCTATGGCCTACTATTAATAGATTTCTATTACTGGGTACAACAGTTCTTCACTGATAGCTATTGCTGGAATTTCCAATATGGTCTTAGGGAAAGGAGACAGCTCTTTCACTAGTTATTCTCCCTAAAACATGGTATAGGTGCTTTTAGATTTTCCATAGCACAAAATAGATCATGCTGTAACTTTAAACAAGACTCAGGGATGATGGATGTGAAGTGTGGTGTAGAGAAACTTTCATCACCTATTAAAAGTGGCCATACTTAAAGCAACTATTTTCCATAGGGGAAACACCCACACAGACTTTGATGTCCCCAGAGGAACTATTACTGGAGTCTTGAAATACATTTTTTGAAGTGTGGATTATTTATTTTTAACTAATTACCTTGGGTAACGTATCGCCCATCCATTTCAGATTGCACGGCATTTATCCTTGACTAGTTTCTTTCCAGACAGAGTCTACACGACCCTTCTGCAGTCTTTTCCAACGAGGCATTACAACTAGGAAAGACCTACTTGCAGAACACATTCTATCATGCAAGGTCATCCAATTATTTATGGAGTCAGAACAGTCTAAATTCAGATTTCAAAGAGACATTCCTCCATAACGAAGGGTATACACTGTTAGTTTGTGAGCCATATCCACTCAGCAGACATATTCTATTTAACTCACATAGGTTTAAAATTATGAATTACTTGCCAACCTTTTAATGATGGGATATTTTGTATAAATGTCTAGAACATCAGCTTCTTTTGAAAAACTGAAATATATGGCAATCTTAGAGTCATATTTCTGCATGATCATAATCTGTTGAGACAGAGTAAATGTTACCCCTTCAACAAAGCATAAACTCTTGGGTTACCTCAAGCCCCACCTGGCTCACTTCACTCATTTACTTTATCAGCCTTCTCTCTGAAGACATTTGAGATTCAGTCCCTGCTCCCAAATCCACAAGGGTGTAAGTACACTAAGATATAGTTAATTTAGATTCCTAAATAAAACAGTACACTTCTTGATCCGGAATGGTGCTTTTTTGCTAATTTTAAGACATACATATAGGTAGGTATTTTCCAAAAACTATGGGCAAGCATTTGACTTAAATTCACATCTAACGATTTGCATTAATCTTCTCCAAAAGTGTAATTTACTTTAAAATTAAATTTCAGTCTTCATCCTTGAAGTTGATAGCTCTTTGTAAACTTTAAATGGCATTTTTGCCAATGTTGACAAATCTCAATTGCCAGTCTTCATTCAGGTAATGCATTAGGAGATTAAAGGTCTATCTTCTTACAGTGAGACTGGAAAGACCAAGCCAGTGTGTGCCCAGTCATCATAGCAGAGGACTAGTGGAAATTGGAGCAAACCATAGAACAATCTGCCTTGTGGTACAAATGGGCTGACTTTTTAAACAAAGAAAACTTTGAAGAAATAATGCAAAAAGCATCAGTTACTTCAGTTTCAGCTTCCATAAGATGTTTATGTGTACTGAAATGATGGACCTGCATCAGATTTCTAGACACACATGTCTGTATCTCCTCTCTCTTCTGGTTCTTCTAGGACAGTAAGAATTCATTGAAATAAACATATAAGAACATTCAAAATGTTCACTCTCAGTGAGCTTTCATCATTTAAAACATATTCATTCACTCAGTTTCTCATTCATTCAGGCATTCAACAAATATCTATTAAGCCCATAGTCGGAGTTGATTGTTAAGCCTATAAAGGTAATTTGCCTGCAGGACTCAATAGTCCATTTGGAGGATCTCTCACATACAAACCTTAATAATTCAATGTAATAAATGTTAAAAGTTGTTCAAAGACAGAAAGAGAGTGACACACTAGGGGAGAACCTAAACCTGGATGATTGATTACATAGGAAATAGCATTTAAAGTGACATTTAAAGGATGAGTATGAGTTTTCCAGTCAGAAAACAGGTACGGGGTTTGAGGATGGTGGGGAGGGGATTCCTAATCAGAAAACAAGAAGGCAAAGAAAACATGGAGACCTAAAAGAGTATGGCTTCTTCCAAGAATTAGACTGAATTTTGCAGTATAATGTACCAGGAAAGTAGGTTAAATGAGCTTAACTAATTAGACAAGAGTTGCTAAAATGTTCAATCAAACTTCACAACATCAGGTCAACTGGGGGATGGCTGTGCAAATATTTTTTAATCCCATATAGTTTTCTTTCTTTCACTAATTTGAATTGCCTGCAAACAAAAAGTTTTCAAATAAAGGTCCTGTTAGGACTATTTTAATTTCCAGATAGCATTCAATACTTTGCGAAGAATTAATTTGTTAACAAGTTAAAAAGGTAGGTTTTTCCAACTCTGCCCTCTTAACTTAGATAACTCCTTTTCATATGTCGGGCAAGGGTTGCAGGGCAAAATTGTCAGTCCAACCCAGGTCAAATGATTACACATCTCAAATTAATTGCAGCTGAGCTAATGAGGCTGTATTGGCTTTGTAGTGGACTAGACAGGAATTCAAAAGAGTTGACAATAGAGAAAAATTGGAGTACATTTAGAAAATTCTTAAAAGAATTTAGATCAGTGCCTCTTAAACTTTACTGCATATATGAATCATCTGGGAATTTGTTAGTAATATAGATTCTGTGTTCTCAGTATGCCTGGGTTTAATTTTATTATTATGAACTGTTCATAAACTCCTAGGTCAGGCTGATGCTTTTGGTCCATGGACCACACTACCAGTAGGAAAAGTAGAATATTTCCTGATCTTTAGAATTAAGAGAAATAAGAAATCTTAGAAAAATCCCAATATGTCAATGCCATATATCTTTATAGTAATCAGCCTTTATCTACTTAAAATGAGAGAGAAGAAAATTTAAGTCTTCAAGGGTAAATCACAACATTAAAAAAAAAGTCTGCTCCTGGATACTTATGTTTACAAATAAGCTAAGTAATTTGCTCATGTAGGATGACCAACTACCTCAGTTTGCCAGGAGGATTGTCCTCATATTAACACTGAAAGTCTCATGACACAGAAATCCCTCAGTCCTAGACAAATGGCCACACTTCATAAGGCACGTGTTGCATTAAGAGAGTTCTCATGGTCTGTTCAAAGTATCATCTTATTATCTATGACAACATTATTTTAAAAAATTAAAATGCTGTATTTGGAATCAACTTGTTTTGTAATTTGGAAGAGGAAAGGAGGGATATTCATATCTTTTATGACAATGTGACCTAAAACTTACTTGCTGAGACAAGCAGTTAACCATGTGACTTTTGTTACTCTTTCATTCTTAAAAACTTGAGCTAAAGAGAAAATATTGATTTAACATAGAAAGTGAACTTTATTTTTGACTTTATATCTACTTCTTTTTGTTTTACCTTGTCTACCTCTCAATTTTTCCATGTTGTTTTCTGATATATTATTTTAATTATTCAAAATATTAATGGAACAGAATATCTTCTTTTAAGTTATGAATGCAATCAATTTTGAGTCTTTAATTTTTTTTCCATAAAATATTTTAATTTAGCCTAATATAATGGCACATCAACCAGTAATAGGTACATTAAATTGAATCATGATGCTCATATACACATTTTATGACACAATCAAATATCTTAATGCATTAATTCATATCTATCAGTTAATAAAATCAAGTAGGAAACATTTCGCTATTGCTGCTAACTGTACTTATCCCATTTACTGGATGAGAAGTCTAAAAAATCTCAACAACTTGATTCTCAGGACTTTTTTCCTTAGATGTCTGGGACTTGGCTATTACTCTAGCTTTTACTAAGTTTATTGGCTGTGGATAAACTAAGAAGCTGCCCCAAATTCTACTTTATGCTTCAGGTTTTCATGAAGTGAAACCATTCTTGTCAAATTAGTAACACACGGAGTCATGCACATATTGTGCCAAATCTGATGGAAAAGTGGTAATGGCTCCCCAAAGGTACCTTAGATCTTGTCTATCATTGACACATCATTAGGAAGTTATTACTTCTGGTGCATTAAATGTTAACCCAGAGTCTTAGAAAAGTTAAAAAGTGAATGGACAAAAGCAAATTATTAGATAAATTAATTACTTTTTTTTGTTCACTATTTTTAGGCTGGAACTGTAGTGGATATTATTTGAGATAAGTTAATATACAATATATATTATCTTATTTTAAAGAGTCAAATACTATTTAGTAAAGCGTGATTAATATACCTGAAACAACTAGAAAGCAATTAAATACTCATCTACAAAGAACTATCTATAAGCTTAATAGGATTTTATGTTCAATATGTTGCTCTTTTTTCTATTTTTCTTCTTCAACTTTTCTTTTCTTTAGACCTAGTATGTGTTTCATGCTAAGCAGAGTATAGTGCATTCTGCTTTACTCAGATAACTAGTTCAAAGTAGCTTAAGGAGAGAAGGTGATTCATTGAAAGGACACTGGAGTGTGTAACAATACTGAAAGAAGAGTTGACTAAATAAACTTCAGGAAGAGCAAGGGTTCCACTGGGCCTCAAGTATAAGATGATAAAGCGGACAGGCCATGACTGTAATCCCAGCATTTTGGGAGGCCAAGTTGGGAGTATTGCTTGAAGTTCTAGAAGAGCTTGGGCAACATAGCAAGACCCCTATCTCTACAAAAAAAAAAAAAAATAGCGGGGCATAGTAGTGTGCACGTGTAGTCCTACCTACTCAGGAAGCTGAGGTGGGAGGATTGCTTGAGTCCAGGAGCTCGAGGTTACAGTGAACTATAATCATGCTACTGCACCCTAGCCTGGATGACAGAACAAGACCCTGTCCCTAAAAGAATAAAAATAAAATGATAGGGAACTGAATTTCATCAGGACTTTCTCTCTCCTACTCTCCATGCCAGCTCTCCTCTGTCCTACTGCAGACCATCTTCCTCCATATGATAGGTAACATTGCTGCTGACAGTTCTTCATTTTACATTTCACGGGTACCACACCAGATGCTACTTTCTTTCCCTATTTGAATGCAAAACATTGCAAAAAGGAATTCAAACTAGCCTGACAGGGCAGGTAGCTCCCATACCCACATTGATAATATAGGATCAAGTTGCCTGAGTAATATACAAGTATAACAATACCCAGCAGAAATGATGGTGTGGAAGGAGGATGGCTCTCATAGAAAGGGAACACTATTCCTGGAAAAACAAAAAGGAGCTGAGCGGTTGTAACCTAGAAGTCCACCATGTACACAATTCTCATGTAATCCTTTCAAAACTTTTAAAAGCAAATATTTTTATTAAAGATTATTATTTTCACTTTTTCTTTTTTCTTTTTTGAGACATCGTTTCGCTCTTGTTGCCCAGAATGGAGTGCAATGGCACGATCTCGGCTCACCACAACCTCTGCCTTCTGGGTTCAAGCCATTCTCCTGCCTCAGCCTCCCGAATAGTTGGGATTACAGGCATGCACCACCACACCCAGCTAATTCTGTATTTTTAGCAGAGACGGGGTTTCACCATGTTGGTCAGGCTGGTCTCGAACTCCCGACCTCAGATGATCCGCCTGCCTCTGCCTCCCAAAGTGCTGGATTACAGGCGTGAGCCACCGCGCCCGGCTATTTTCATTTTATACATTTGAAAATTTCTTTCTTCCACACATGATACTCTGCTGACTTTCTGTACATAAGGTACAATATGACTGGTAATTTCACCGGTTTAGCTTTGTCTTTGACTCTATTAGAGCTACAAATCCTTCCACAAATGGCTAAATACTGAGGACATCTTGAATAGAATTTGTAGACCCCTACCTCACTTGAACTCTAAAACCTGCCTGTGTCTTTCATTTGGTCCTCCTACTTTGAAATTTGACCTCGACCTCTGCCCCAAATCATTGTCTTAGTTTGGGTCCCTTACATGTAGATGTGCAGGCTGTCAACTGCCCAACTGGTAGAATGCCATTCTCCAAATGAATGGAGGCCCCTGGGGTTGTAAAATGTGGAGGATCCTTCTCAGACTTGTGCACCTTCTAACAATTTCTGCTGTACTAGGCCTTTCCAGCCTATTCCATTTTTCAGTCTCCTCTCTTCCATTGTCCAGACTAACTACTTCCAAAGGTGAGATATTTTTCTTGTCCTCCTCAGAAAGATGGGTATTTTATATAATAAGATGAATTAATTGGATATGAAGACATACAGGATTTCTTGCCTAATACACAGTGGACTCTGAAAGCCAAGATGGTATCCTCTAATATCACCTTCCCGATTATTTAACTGCTCCATCTAATTGTGGCCACCTGGTTAAACTGACATCTTTTTCTTGCCTTTGCTCAACCATGGCTCAGCTGTGTAGACTACGTGTTTGCTATCACTTAGGGCTTGCCATAAATTCTATCCTCAAGCTCCAGCTAAGGAACTAGTGAATTATCATGTGTGTGGAAGGGACTAGCACATATACATTAATGACAACAATGACATTTAGAAATGGGTCATTTTCCTCTTTCTCAGTAAAGATAGTCTTTGTGGATTTAAATCATTAATGCTGTTTTTTTCCCCTCACCATTATGTTACCATAAAAATATTGAAGTGTAACAAATGATTTGCTTATCTATTACTACTAACGAAATGGTTGGAAAGAGCTTAGAAACAGTTTTCTGCTTTTATTTAGCTGAAAAAAAAACAGTTTCTATAGCTTCCTTTTTATGCAAATGAAGATGCCTACTCTTTTTGCAGACGTTATTATGGAAGGATATCATTGATCATGTCCTCAGGGTAATAAATAATTACTCTACTAACGTATTGCTCTGAAAGAAACTGACATGAAGTAGTTTCAAATTAACCACTGCTAATTGCATGCATTGTTTCATACTTATTACTGCAATCTGATTAACATGCTACTGAATAGAACTGGCAGGAAAGGTTCTTTCTGCTGTATTTCAACTTGTTTTAGCTAAAAACTTGGCTAAATGTGAAATTTACAAAGTTAGAAGGTTAAATCTATTGCTGAGGAAAACAGGATCATTGTGGTATAATGAGCTTGACCACTGCCAGAATTTTTATTTTACGAATTTATGTTTGAGAAATTGACATATTTTTTAGATTTCCAATAGGAAAAAATGTCCTTTATTATATGCACAATCTGTTATAGATTAAAACACTAAATCTCTGATATGAAGTTTCTTCAGTAAACTCTTCAACATAAGAAAAACAGTGCCACTTTTCAATGTAAAATGAAATCTGTAAGAATAAAAACATCTCAATTTTGGCCTTGTTACTAAATTTGCCATAAAAAATCTAAATTACTATAAAATGGAACTTTAAAAATGGTGTATATTTGCTATTATAATTGTTATTCCTACTTATCTTCCCAAGATAAATGGGATGATATAGAAAGACAAGTGAAATTGTTATGCTTATAAATGTAGAGTTAATCAGTTACACTAGTGAGCATTTTTATCATAGCTATCCTGTGCCTCTGTCCTAAGTTCAAGGGCAAATTATATACTGAAAATGATATTTTGATAAAAGTTGCAAATCTACATTTTATGTACCTTTATTATGCACTTACGCATCAGTCTCCATGCAGTAAATGCACATGTTGTTCTATGCGGTTTACAGTTACTAAGTCATTTAATTTTAAATGACCCGATGGTACTATTAATATCCCTATTTTAATAGATGAGAAAACTGAGGCACAGAGAGGTTAAGTAATTTTCTCAAGGTTTCGGAGCTAATATTTAATACATGGTGGAGCTAGAACTCAAACCCATGGTGTCTGGCTCTAAAAACCATGCACTTAGGACCGGGCGTGGTGGCTCATGCCTGTAATCCCAGCACTTTGGGAGGCTGAGGCGGGCAGATACCTGAGGTTGGGAGTTTGAGACCAGCCTGACCAACATGGAGAAACCCTGTCTCTACTAAAAATACAAAGTTAGCTGGGCGTGTTGGCGCATGCCTGTAATCCCAGCTACTCGGGAGGCTGAGGCAGGAGAATCACTTGAATCCGGGAGGTGGAGGTTGCGGTGAGCTGAGATCATACCATTGCACTCCAGCCTGGGCAACAAAAGCGAAACTCCCTCTCAAAAAAGAAAACAAAACAAAAACAAAAAACATGCTCATTACTGATATACTATGCTGTCTCAGCATATGGACCTGGAAGATGCATTATATTGGTAGATAAGGTAAAATGTATGTTTTTGGAGGGTGGCATTGAAACTGATTCTTATGTTGTTATAACTTTGAAATGTTGGCCTGAGCTCTGATTTATAGCTGATACTGTTCCCCAGCTGCACACAGCTGATCTGTCTATGGCCTTCTGGTCCTTCCTTGGATCCCTATGTCCATCCTCCATTCTATGGCCCAGGGTTTACTCAGCACCCTGAACCCTAGAAGTTCACTTATAATTACTGGTTGGCTGTAGCCTCCTCATACTGGCCTGGGCTATACACATGTCTTTCCAGCTCTGAGTTTAATGACCTCACATTGGTGGCTTGGAATCAGCCAGGGCAAAAGTCTTTACAGCATGGAAACCAGCAAATGCCTTCTCCCCATCCCTCGCCCCATCACTTTGGCAATCTGGTTACTCACACAACACTGCCTAGGATCTACTACCATTCATATCCCAGGATAGGCATACCCCGAACATGGAGGTTTTCATGTGTTTTTACTGTATGTCCCCATATGGCATTATAATGTTAACATTCATGGGTCTAAGCCCTTCCTGGACACCAAAGAAGAACAAAAAAATGGCAGAATCTCAGCAATACAGCAGCAGTGGCAAAATATGATATGTGCTTTCCCTTACAATTCTGCATTTATTGCAAACATTACTAATCACTCATGACATGACAGAGCCTGGCCCCAGACCCAGAATCCTCATCAACATAGCACTCTAAAGTCTCGACAGCCACTGCCAACCACTCAGATTTGGTACATGAGATGAAATTATTTACTGTCCCTCTTAGAATCAGAAATTCTCATTTCTCCCTAGGATATTCCCACTCTGTATTATTTATAACACTTCCCTAAGTTATAGAAAGATTTCTAAAAATGATGACCATGAAAGAAAACTTGTTGTCCCCAAAATTTAAATATTTAGAGCATAAGATCCATCCGCTATTCTGCCTGATAAAATCAGTTATGCAATACTCTACAAAGTACTTCGGCATTTGTAATTTTCCTAAGGACTCCATGCTCATGTATTGATATTCATCCATAATTAAATATATATGTTTGATGTCAATATTCCTTTGTTAGTCAGTGGAAATATATGAGTTCTCTGTTCATTGAAACCAGCTCAATGGAAATATTCTTTGACTTGGTGATTAAAAGAAAGGAAATTTGTCTTGCTACTGATGTCAAAATTGTATCATTAAAACATTTTCTGAATATAGAACAGAGTAAGAAAAAGTTTAAAATGTTACTTATTATTTTTTCATCTTCCTCTTTTCTACCTCAAGCTCAAATTTTTAGAAACAATTCCCTTAATTTGTTCTAGTTTCAAAAAGAGAATTGCAGGGATATATGGAGATACATTTATAGAGTTTGAGTAGTTTAGAGGTATGTTTAAAGGGGAGCATTAATCTATCAATACAGTGAAAAAGCATCTATAAGTGATGAGATTGTATGGTCTATATCTGATATAAATAAGCTCACTTAATATCTACATATATAGTGAAGACTACTCATAATCTCAAGAGATTACTATCCAGACATGTGAAAATTGTATATCCACTTGCAAAATTCCCAAATAACATGAAGAATGCATAAATGCAAATTGAGAGGTTTACAACAATAGCTGTCAGAGGAAAACCTGAGCTAATTGGTGAAAGGTGTTAGAGGCAAGGTTCTGAAGCATGAATGAGAATTGGATGAATGAGAAATAAAATAGAGGGAATGTGAGAAGGTCTGCATGAGCAAAGGCTCCAAAGAAGGATGGTGTAAATCTTATTTAATGGAAAAGCACATCAGAATAGGGGCATTTGCAATGAGGGTAGTGGTCATAAAGAGTAGGTGACTTTGAATATCAAAATAAAGAATTGATTTTTATTTAGAATTGTGTATCGTTTCAGTCTATGAGGCCATTATATTTTTATCTCATGTTTTATAGGCAGAAGTATCCTAATCTTTATATGAACCCTTGCAGAGCAAGGGTAAGCTTCTTATCTAATGTTACAGGAGCCGTGAAACAAGCACAGGATTAAGACTTAGAAAGCGTGGATTTGAATTCTGGGGCTGTCGCTTACTAATGGATGATTTTTGCATGTTGCTTAACCTCTCTGAATCTTAGTTTCTTTATGAACATCATAGTACATAGCTGTTGAGATTGGAGAGCCGAGATAGTTAGGATTAATCATGCTTCTTTCTTCCACTCCAGTTTTGAAACCAATGGAGAGATCAACACAAGCTTTGGAGAGGAGATCAAAATATCTGCTTCACTGGAAGGAGTTTTGGATTGCTCAACAAGGTTCAGATCTGTGGCATAATCAGGCTTCCTAATCCTGAACCAAAGTTGTTGTTGTATCTCGTAGTTGTCACCTGAGAGCTGACTGACCTGTTTCAAGCATATGTGAGATGCCTTCTGGAAATGCCCGGAAGCATATAGCTAATGGGATGAGGCATTTCAAGGTTGAACTTCAGCAAGAGCAAGTGGGATAAAGGGCAAAAAGCAGCACATTCCTTTCAAAATGTCCCCATTTTAAACTGCAGGCTAGAGTAGACAATGGAAATATATGACATATAAAGAAACTGGTGAGATTATTAAGCAGAGGGCCTTCTGGGGAGCATTAAAGAGTGAGCAAGAAAAATTTCTCAGACATGGTGATTCTAGAATTGAAAAATCATAGACTCTTTCTCTTCTCTCTCCTTTGAGAGTTTCCAGATGAATTCTTGGATCTGGCTACTGAGCAAATATATGAATAATAACCTAGGATCAGCTGGGTATAAGAGGTTTCCACCAGAAGTCCATGAAAACCAATGTTTTTAAGCATCTATTGGGCAACTACCATAAACAATCAGCAAGATGTTTAAACAGTTGATTCTGCCGGCGGCCCAACCAGTTTTTAACTGTATCACGAAAACTGGCCTGGGGGTACAGTCTGAGATTATTCCAGCCCTGCTTTTACACCGCCAGAAATTCCCTTTCTGTTACAAATTTCTACCCCAGAGAGGTTTGCATATTCTTGGCATTTTCACTGTGCATCAGTGAATCAGCTAGCCTACGGGCCAAGGAGAGGGGAAAAAAATCCCAAATAAAACTCAACCCAGTTAGGATGTCTTCATCTATTTTTCAGTGGGAAAAAATACAGCTGGACTCAGTGACTTCAGTCAAAAGCAAACATTACTAGTTGCTTCATTTTTCTAATTTTTATTTTTGACTCTCAAGTTTTGGAGGGCATAATAAAGACATAGCCTCAGCAAAGTCACTTAGAAGATTGAGTTCGTTATTTTGCAAAGCTTGGGTAGTGACACTTCTGCAAAATGCACAAGCACATGAGCAGAGAGATGTGTGAATTCAGGAAAGCAGCCAAATGCACATCAGAGCTGAGGAATGTCACAGCGAAATGAAGAAAACTTGTAAACACCTATCTGTATTTTTAGGTAGAGAATGTTCTAACATATTGCCAATGGGTGCTGCCTGTGTGTTCCTTCCCCTAAGCTTTAAACTCAACTGATATTAAAGGTGATTTGAAAACAATGAAAATTGACAGCTTTATTAATCTAGATGGTGTGTGTGAGAGAGAGACAGAGTGTGTGTGTGTGTGTGCGCGAACACGCACATGATGTGTGACTGCTGCATGTATAGACTGTGCATTTTTACTGTGGGCCTTGCACAGACGAGGGAGCCCTCTACTGATTGGAAATTGTACTAGATGTAAACTATAGAGGGATGCTTTCAGTGCGTTGCTCATGTATCCTCCAAAATGCAGACATTTTGCTTATTTATTTTTCAAATTATGACAGCAGATGCTTTATTTTCGGAAAGGAACTAGAGATGTCAGTCATCATGTGCATACAAGTATATGTCATTCCTTCTATTTAAGGTAAAATTCTTTGATTAAAAATATCTACACTCAGTCTTCAACCTTTTAATATAAAGATGATTGTAACACAATTAAACCACAAATGTCTACATGACTGTGATGAGAATGTGTGACAGAGATCATAACCGCGTTTATCTATTATCATGGTTTATCACACACTATTTTTTCCCTTAAGCGTGTATTTCTTATTTTATACTTTTTTTTTCTCAGAGCATAAAGACAGTTTTAGGGGTGACAATTTGAACTCATTCATGTGGACAGGTTTGTATGTGCTATATTTTCATATGCATAGTTAAATCATATTATTAAGTCCTGTGTACAGACAAGATTAATATTTAGTTGCTTTTGAGTTTAGATACCTGATTTTTAACCTCATGTCTTTATAAAATAATTATAGTTCAACTTTTCATTAATTTAAATCAATGAATAAAAGTAAAATATGGCTGGGTGCACTGGCTCACACATATAATCCTAGCACTTTGGGAGGCTGAGGCAGGAAGATCGCTTGAGTCCAGGAGTCCAAGACCAGCTTGGGCAACATGCCAAAATCCCAGCTCTACAAAAAATACACCCAGGTGTGGTGGTGCATGCCTGTAGTCTCAGCTACTTGGGGGGTGGAGGGGGGAGGATGGTTTTAGCCCAGGAGGTGGAGGTTGCAGTGAGCCGAGATCACACCATTGCACTGCAGCCTGGGCGACAGAGTGAGATCCTATCTCAATAAATAAATAAATAGAAATATTGTTCGCTTATTTTCAACATGACTGGCCTAATCCTATTATGGGATAGTCTCTCTTACCCTAAACGAGTTTTTTAATAGATTGTTTATTATTAGAATGCCAATTATTCCAATTTTTAACAAAGAATTAACATTTTTCTTGGAAGTTAGCTTAAACGTTTATTAGTTTTATATATAAATTTTACAAGAGAGCCTTTATTAAATCAAATTTTTTTAGAATTAAACTCAGTTTGAGTCTCATTCTGTACATAACTTTAACCCTAACCGTAGTTGAAGGCACTGTGTGTTGTTAAACAGCTACACCTGGAATTAACATGGCAGCATAGCTGACTGGGACATGACAGTGACACAGCTTTAACATCTGCCATCTTTTGACCACCAGCATTAATTTTGTTTCTACATCCAATGTCCTCATCCCTCACCAATCTGTCACTCTTTCTGTGGTTCCAACATTACAAAATAGCCATTGCCTTTATTTCATTGAGGATAAAACACATAATGTCAACCTAGGATGATCAATTTACTCTGCCATTAACAGCCACCATTTATGAAATGCCTACTGTGTGCCAATCCCTTTTCAAAAAAATGACCCAAACCTTAGAAATCTGCATGGGAAATCTCACTATTCCAGTTTGTCGGTTGGTATTCTTTTTGTTTGCAAATGACAAATTGTACTCAAACAAAGTTAAGCAGAAGAAGGGGACTGTATTACAAAGACACTGGAGTATCTCATATAATCCCAAAGGTCAGGTATTGCTTTCTCAAATGACATGTCCTAATAGCTTCGCCGAGGTTTCATTTATTTCTTACTATGAGTTCACTGAAAGTTAGGTGTGGATAAAAGTATCAGTCATTATTTCTGAGTATTAAACTACAATGATTTTTGGATATGGCTAATTTCTAATATCCCTAATTTTAATTTTGTTTAAGAGAGAAAATCCTTTTTTGCTGATTTTTCTCTAATGTTTTTCACACATATTTGAGTAAAAATAAATGCCAAATCAGTTTATATGCCAGCTAAAGAGTTTCATAAACTTGCTACATAGCTTGTAATGCTTTCAAACTAAAGGAGTAGGCAATAATCAACTATAATAAGTGCTATAGAGTTTCACATTTAGTTTTTATTTCTGTCACTTGTCTATGATTCCACAACAAAGTTCTGGCAATGGTCTGTGGTATCCCCAGTTCCTTCCCCTTGTGGCTGAAGAGCTGGTCAGTGCAGTGACTGGGGAAGTGACCGCAGAAGGAGGGCTGGCAGGATTGCCACAGCGGCGGCTACTGTGCCTGTCCTCATAGTTTAAGCATGTCTCTATGTTGCTGGTGGAACAAGTGGTGACTCTCTGAATGTAAATGCTCCCAATCTGGTTTAATTTACCACCATCACTGGAATCTCCCTTTCATTCTAGCTTGTCTACTGGAATCTGCTTTAGATTCTGCTCTGGTCTCCAGCTCTGCATAGGAATGCCCTGTATATTAAACCTGAATAACAATAATTCAGTGTATTGATGGACAACTTACATTATTAGCATGCAGTGCTGGGATTAGAATATTAGGTGGTGAGATCAAGGATAAGGTGAGATAAGATCATTTAGGATATCTGGTTTCTCTACATTACTGAGAAGGTCATCAGGGGCAGGGATGGGAAAGGTTGAGTTGGCTATGCATTTCACTTACAGTAAAGACCTGCTTTAGTTAGACTGCTCTCCTATTACTAGATAAAAATGAGATCCTGTTGTATGATTGTTGGGGAGTATGTGCCATTCACATAGCCTATGTAGATAGCATTCCTTAGAACATAACCCCAATTACAGTGCAATGCCCTAGAACTGCTGTTACTTGAGTTTGCCTAATAATAGAGATGGATCATGCAGGGTCTGTGCTCTGTTCAATGATCAGAAATGGATACATAAAATTTGGGCGCAGATATGAAATTTGTACAGGCAGAGGAAATTTAATCAAGCCTGAAAAAGAAATGATTACATGTTACTTTTTGGAAGGAATCATTTAGTATGCTACATTTCCAATGAGTTAATTTAACTGTCTGGGGAAAAAATTCCATGAAATATTATGCTCATGTACACTCACCAAAGGAAGAGTATTATTTTAATTTGGAAGCTGTTACTCCTCTTCATATATAATCACTAGGTGAGCAAACTGATTCTTTCATATCATACAGTTGGCAACCGAATAAAAACAGGCAGTTACCCTGTATGTACGTTTTCAGCACATTTTGTCTTGTGATAGGATTGAGTTCTAATGCTTTCTCTTTGTTATTCATAATGGTGTAATTTTTGCAATATATTTCAAAGTGGAGGACTTTCCAAACCTTGTAGCCGAAGGCCTTGAAAGCATACTGTCTCAGGGGGTCATTGGACTGAAAACATGGTTCTGGTTAGCGAGCACAGCCAGCACAGGGGTGAAATGCATTCTGCCCAGAGAAGGCCTGGGCTGAGACATTCGGTTGAACATGTCTCAGTTCCAGTCACCTTCCCAGTCTAGGAATGACCAGAATACCTTTTAATCATACAGCCAGTTTGGTCTCACTAAATTCTGCTGTAAACTCCATATATTGCTTCTGGAAATCTCTTAGACATTCTATTAACTCTTGAAGCCTGATTTCATTTCCTGGACACTGGTTCCCTTGAAAACCTGATGTCTCTTGAGATTTAAATATATAAAGAATAAACTTACAACATGACAAATATATAAAAAATAAACTTACAATGGAGATGCTTTTAAGAATAAAGAAAGAAGGTAATGTTGATAAATCATTACCTTCAGTGCCTGTAACATAAAAAATACTCCTAAGACATCATTATTGCCATGACTCTTCCGGGTTTAGTGTTCAAGTGAAATTTTGTCAACTGTCCTTAAATCCTAGATAGAGTACTCATCAGTGCTAAATAAATTTAACTACTCTAGGTGTCAGCATAGATAATCATATAATGATATGAAAATTTAAAATTCAAAGTTGGCAATTACTTTTCCATCTGATTTAAGGAGTTAATGGATGATTGTAAACTTGGTCATCTGTTTAACTCAAGTGTTTCAGTATGTAGGGTACCCTACAGAGATTAAGACTTGGGGTCCCATGATTTGGAGTCAGAAACCTGAATTCAATTCCAATTCTTCCATTTAGTAGCCATATGTTTCAAAGTGATTCACAATTGCTACAATATCCATATTCTGTAACTCTTCCTAAATACTCTTCTTTGACAAGAACTCTGCAAAGCCATTTCATGTACAGTAAGAAGAACAAAAGTTAAGAACATAGAATTTAGCATCAGACAGAACTGGTTGGGTCCCATTTTTAACACTCACTAGCTATGTGACCTTGGACAACTTCCCAAACCTCTAAAACTCAGTTTCTTCCTCTGGCTACTAAAATTAAAAATAGTATTAATCTTATAGTTGGCTGTGAAGATAAGATCAATTACAGATGAATGCTCATAGCACAGTGCTTGCAACATGCTACATTTTGAAAAAATACTAATTTATTTTATTATTTTCTCATCACTAAAGTTGAAATAATTATATCTTCTTTGTCTATGCTATAGGTTGTTTTGAGTATCAAATGAGGCAATGTGGTATATAAAACTATACATATAAAAAGGAAATTTATAAATGATTTTCTTGAATTTTCTTGGGCAGAAACATACTTGGAAAACAGTGCCAAATGCTAAGGCTTAGAAAGTGTTTTGCCAGAAGATATGTTAATCTTAAGGTTCTCTTCTGTCTACTACTTTAACAGTAAGAAAGTAAAACTGGGACAGTAGTTACTCTTACAAAGCTATCACTCTCTGTCAATGACAAAGCTACATTGTCCTAAGTCAATAAAGTAACATTTATTGATGTCATATATACAAAATCACCATCTCAATTAATTTTTTCTTTTTCAATTAATAAATGAGACACTGTATTTTGTTGTTGTTCTTATTGTTCTCCAAATAGGAAACCTTTAGTTTCTTAATATTTTATCTCCCTTAAGATTCCCTGAAAATTAAAAAAAAATGAAAAAGACTATTAACCCAGTGATAAATATTCATTAAAACTTATATACCTAGAAATGGGATTCTTTTCATAGACAGGTTTCTATGTTTTTTATATTCTCCTAGGCAGCTTTCCAGATTTTCATTCTTGAATTGATAATCTAAGGTCTGATCACCGTAAAGAATTGTGTTAACACTGTATTAGAGTCTTAAAATAGTTTGGAGAAATTTAAAATATATATCTGTATAAAGTTACTATGCAGATGCTACTTCTATCTTCCAAAAGTCTCAAAATTCTTGATGCAAATAAAAAAGTGCATAATATTTTAATATAGGTTCATATTGATTTTATGAGACTCCTCTGAAAATATTTAGTACACTTATTGATATGAAATTTAAATTCAGGCTTTTTTTCCATTATACTGGCCAATTGAATGGAATTTCATCCAGACTGAAATATTCAAACAAATAATAAAGGCACACAAAAAGACATAAGTAAAGTAGATATAATGATGTAATTAAAATTAACGTCCTCTCATTCCTGGATTAACCATTAAATGGGAACATTTTCTAAGGATCTATCATTAATTCTCTTCTGTTTTCAATAATGCATTCCATGAGGGAGATTGCATCCAATCCTTTTATTTTAAATTCTACTCTTACTCCAAGTTATTTTCCATTTTCTACCTTTCTTTTGAGGTTCATATTTATATTTTTCAGTACTCACCAGAAAATTGTACCTGTGTGTTCTGAATAACCGTAATTGAACTATCTTATTTACTCTTTGTCATGTGCCTGTTTCTTTATATTTCCTATACTATTGAATGCTCCATTATCTGCCTAACTCTCCAAAGTAGAAATCTAAGATAATTTATCAGCTTTTATCCCCACCAACTTCTACATCTAAACATTTCACAGCACTGTCCACTTTGTATCACTGAAATAGCTGTTTTAGTCCAGTTAAGCTCTATCTCCTCCTCTGGTGTGAAGAGGAGGAGGATGGTCCCAGGCTTTGATGGACCAAGATCTATTGCCTCAAGGACAGGGCAGTAGTAAATTTTTTAAGAGATTTGTAGGGGATCAGCTCCTTTTCTGAGAGGCCAGCTTGCTGGGGACCAGTCTTGGACAAGTGACCTTTTATTATTAAAATATTATTGGATATTGTTCTAGTCACAGTTATTGAATACAAAAAGTGACTCTTTTACTGCCCTGCTATCTCTGTCTTTGTTTCAACCATCATTCCCCTCCAATATAGCTACCTTTGTCAAAGTCATGCTCTTAAAATACGTAAATGCTCATATTACATACTTAAAATCCTTCCATAAGGCCCCATTGCTTATTGAAATCCAAATCCTTATGTGACCAACAAGGATTTTAATGACCAGGCCTCACTCCACAGACTTAGGCTTACAATTATTCCCATAACAATTTTTATATTCTATACAATGCATTTCATTTGGTATTCTCTTCTTACACTCAATTTTAAGTTGACAAATTCTCACTGATTCTCTAAGATTCTGCCTAAATATTTCTGTGAAGCTTTTCTTGACATTCTTTTTCTACATTTCCCTCTGGAGTTGTACAATGACACAGCCTTGTTTGTGTGTGTCTATCGTACATATATTTATAATTGTAATTGTTCCCTTATAGATTTGCATTTGCTACTAAGTTGGCTGTAAGCTCTTTCAGGAATTTTGCCATTTATGTCTTTGAAGCCCTGTACCTAGCTAGTCACACAGTAATTAGTCAATATCTGTTTTAAATGAACGAATGAGTGAATGAACAGGAAATGAAGTAGCCCATGCACTTGAACTAGAAGATGAACCCTCTTCTGTGGTTCGCTAATATCTACACCCTGCATGAAAACTTTTTGAGTATTGAGAACATAAAACAAAACCAAACATTTTTCTCAAAAAGGAGTATTTCTCACAGAAGTGAAGATGGGAGCAATGGACACTGGAGACTTCCAGAGGGAAGAGGGGTGAGGGCAGAAGGACTGCTTATTGGATGCTGTGCTCACTTCCTGGGTGATGGGATCATCTCTACCCCAAAATTCAGCATCATAGTGTTCCCATGTGACAGACCTGCATATGCACCTCCTGAATCTGAAATAAAAGTTGAAAATATTTTTTAAATAGTGTTTCTCTATCAATTGCTTGTCCATGTAGTCATTGATTGTATTAAACACATTAGTCAAATGAGTTTTGATTTGTACACTCTTCTAAGGAAGTCAGACTCATTGTTTTTGTAGTTGGTAAGAACAAACTTTAAATTTCCTCCTTATAATAGCATTTTACATCCAGAAATTATAATTTATCTGGGAATACATTTCTTACATCATTCAGGGTTGATTCTCCCCCATACAAATTTTGGCTGAATTTTGTTTTCAGCAATGGGAGTCATAAAGAACCGTTCAAAGCTAGAGAGAACAGTAGCTTCAAGCTATAAAATAAATGAAAGATTATAGGGGATGAGGTGCATATATGTGTATGAAGTGTGTGTGTATGTATATGTATGTGTAGTATGTATAGTGTATATTCTGATGGTCTACTTTGGAACATAAAAACATCTTGTAAAGCATCTTTTTTGGACTAAACAAAATTTCATCACCTCTGCTGGAAAACTAGAATGTTACATCTTTTGCATATTCATTTAGGCTGTGATAAATTAGTTTTGGTTATTGTTACTTCATTATTTTTCATAATTCTCCTACCCTCAATTTATTCAATTCAATCTCAGAGCTATAGCTTCTGGTACTTGACTATAAAATTATATATATGTCACAGAGGCAAAGAGATATTACCCACAAGGGCTTAAAAAATAGATCCTAAACTTTAACACTTGTCAGAAGTATTAGCACTTATCAAATTGTGCATTGCTGTTTAAATAAGGCATTTGTGTCTGTGTCCCTGTAATATGAATGTTACTTGACCCAGAAAACTATTCCTCCTGGAAAACATGTACAATATCTGCCAAAAAGGCACTTGGATACTTTGTTGTGACAAGACTTATTTCCTCTCTTGAGCAAGATTTGAAACCAGAGCCAGGAGCATTTGTACTGGTCAATAATTCCCAAACAAATTTTTGGATAAGACGTGAAGAATTAGCCTCAGCCTTAGCCCATTTCCATTTGGCTAATTTTCTTGCACCTGTTAAAATTGTTCTGCATGCTGAATGGCCTTTATACTCTCCAGATAGTTTGTCTCAGGCCACAGAATCAAGAGTCTATGCTTGATTAAAACATTGATATGTCCTGCCAGAGCGCTAGGCTTTGTTTTTCAGTGCACTTGGTGCAGAAACCGTAAACTGGACTGAATGCTTAGAGGTAAAAGGTGTGAATCTTTTGTTATAGGTGGGTGTTGCTCTAATAAAATAAAACTCTGAGTCTCTGGTATAACTCTACTTTATTCTTCTAATGGCTGCTGTAATAGGAATAAGTTACAAATGATGACAAATAATGGAAAGTTTGACCAAGAGTAGTATAAAAAGAGAAGGGTTTATTTTTCTTGCATGACCAGATATTGAGGGGTAGGCAGTCCAGGCTGACACAAAAGACTCTGAAATCTCTTTCATTGTGTAATCCTAACATCTTGTCTTTCGTCCTCATGCTTTTCAGATCGTGGTCACCAGATGGCTGTTGCCCTTCCAGGCTTCCAGCTCCTGTGTTCCAGACTGAAGAAGAGGAACAGAAAAAGGGTCAGACATCTTTCTCCTAGTGCAGCTTTGTTTGATTAGGAAGAGAGAATTCCCCCTCACCGTCCCCCTTGAGATTTCTGCCAGCATCTCATTGACCTGAACTGTGACACCTAGCTATTTCTGTTTCACTCTCTAACAAATGTAGAAAGTGTTAGTAAGGAAGACTGGAGTAGCATACTTAGAAATGGCAACAAGCAGTGCCTCCCACAGCTGCACAGTATCCCAGTTTGTCAGAATCTTCCATGTACTCCTTCAGGTCTACTCTATGCCCTTCTCACTCTGTTCTCTACTCCGGAGGCTGATTTCCAGGGCTACATTCCACAGGCCACCAGGCTTTCCCAGGCCAAGTTCTCTAGAAATAGATCCTGACGTGGGTATTTGAGTACACATGATGTATTGAGAGAGTGCTCCCAGGAGCAACCTTCAGGGGAGTGAGGGAGGCAGACATGGAATGAAAAGGAACTATGGAAAAATGTGGTTTCAGGTGAAATCTAGCTTTGGCATGATCCCATGGAAAGTTCTGTAGTGTAAATTCTGATGCAGAGTCTTTTCCAACGTGGGACAAGGAAACAGGGACTTTGCAGCACCTCTCCAGTCAGTTCTGGGCCATTGGCCCCTAGATGGGGAAAGAATGTATAATTCCCAGGCACCTCCAGGTAAGGCGACCTCAGTCACCTAAGGGCAAGCCTTCTGAGAAGGATGCAGGTGTAAGTCTATAGCAGAAGCACCTGCAGCAACTGAGGAATTAGCACACCAACCATATCATTGAGAGGGATCTCAGGGCTCTGGGTTGCATAACAACAGCTTCTATC
Source organism: Homo sapiens (assembly GCF_000001405.40). Taxonomy (NCBI): domain Eukaryota; kingdom Metazoa; phylum Chordata; class Mammalia; order Primates; family Hominidae; genus Homo; species Homo sapiens. The sequence continues at coordinate 79,586,040 of NC_000004.12, forward strand.
TGTGCTTTCTGGCTTCCACTAACCTTGGCCAATGGAGAGCTAGAACAGGCCATGAAGGCATTTCCCTTAACTCGCTCCCTGCTGGGTTTCTTCCCAAGGATTCTTGGACATGAGAGGAAATGTCGTTTCATGAATGTTAAACTAATTTGACTTAACTTATAAAAGATATGAGGCATATCAGAATACTTGAGCTAAATAACAAAAGATCATCAAGTAAAGAGTAAATCATGGTCTTTCATGGAAAAGAAAATTTATTAAGAATTTGTTCTATTCACAGTTATTGAATACAAAAAAACTCCAAGCAGATATAAGTTTGAGTATTTCACTTTTTAAAAATTGATTTTTTAGTAAAAATCTGGAAAATAAATGTTTTCCTAAATCATAAAAAATTTCAAATAAACCGAGTAACAAACATGACATTATTTTAAAATATGTAGAAGTAAGAAGCACATGAAAACGTTTATATGAGTGTGAAGAGAAGAATCAGATACAAATTATTTGGGGATACCCCAAATAATTTCTCTACAGACTATTTTCTTGACATCGTATATCAAGTGTATTCTTGAATTAAAGAGAAATTTGAAAAAGAAATAGCTGTATACTACATTTTATAATTTTCTTTATAATATTCCAGTGTTTAAAAATTTTAAAGTCAAACTTAAATACTCTGTGAACCTAGTTATTGCTTTAAGAGGAGGTGAAATTGCTGCATAGGTGATAGTGACTCATACGATACATTTAAAATGTTTTGCAATAAATTCTATGATAATCATGCATCCAATTCTACCCTATTGCAATGAATAAACATAATTTGTAAAATTCATGGTTAATTTCGGAATATAATGAATGTTTTTAAAATGTCATTAAAAAATCCCAAGTGTTACTTTGCTAACAAAATGAAGTTTCTCTAAATGAAAACTTATTAAAACAAACCATCAAAGAGCTACAATGTTCCAAGAAAGAATGGTTAATCTGTAATTGCTGTAAATATTGCCAAATTATGTGAAAAGAGTGATTACAACTACATAATTGGTGATTTTGCTGAAATGAAGGTAAACATAAATTTATTAAAAATATGTATTTGTGAATTATGTATCTTCATTTTATTATCTGTTAGAGCACAGCAGGCCTAAAGAGAACATTCAGAAAAGCACAATAATAATTAAATTAAGCTCTCTTGTTATTTTACTGGCTTGCAGTCATATAAAAATACACAGCTTTATGCATACATATGCATTTGTATATACATTGATCTTGTTGCTATTAAGGTATATGTATCAAGATAAGAGAACAGGACATGTTTTATTTATGAGTTATTTGCCTTATTTACAACCTTTAAACATTAGACATGTCTTCCATGGAATACTATGCAGCCATAAAAAGGGATGAGTTCATGTACTTTGTAGGGACATGGATGAAGCTGGAAACCATCATTCTCAGCAAGCTATTGCAAGGACAGAAAACCAAACACCGCATGTTCTCACTTACAGGTTGGAATTGAACAATGAGAACACTTGGACACAGGATGGGGAACATCACACACTGGGGCCTGTCGTGGGCTGGGGGGAGGAGGGAGGGATAACATTAGAAGATATACCTAATGTAAATGACGAGTTAATGGGTGCAGCACACCAACATGGCACATGTATACATATATAACAAACCTGCACGTTGTGCACATGTACCCTAGAACTTAAAGTATAATAATAATTGAAAAAAAAAGGACAAAGAAAGACATCTATGTCAGGCAGCCCGCATAAGAGATGACTCTGCTATGCGATTGCATGTCCACAATCATCTTGGGAACCATGGCCGAGGTGAAACCAATGTCAGCCAAGGACAGGTTGAAGAGGAAGAAGTATATGGGGGTGTGGAGGTGGGAGTCAGAGCTGACAGCCAGGATGATGAGCAGGTTCCCCAGCACTGTGACCAGGTAAATGGACAAGGACAGCCAAGCGAGGACAGGCTGCAGTTCTGGATCCTCTGAGAGTCCCAGGAGAAGGAATTCTGAGACACCTGTGAGATTCTGTGGTTCTGTGTGACTTGGACACCTTGAGAAGAAAAGAGGATTGGAAAAAATAAAAAATAAAAACCAGCCCTTAATGCTGTGTGTATATTTTGGATACAAGCAATTCACAAGGAACATTTTCACACTTGAGGACCATCCACCATCAGCAATATTTCTCAGTTGTGACAAACCCAAAAATCTCACAATGATTACATGATTTACACTTTTGCTATTCAACTCTTTCTGTACATACCTACTTTAGATAAAATCCACTGAAGAATGTTAGAAGACCAAAACGTAACATGTAACAAATCCATGATCTCAGTAAAATGTGGCCTACTCTTTTCAGAAAAAATAAAATATAATAAAAAATTAGATGTGTCTTATGTGATTTTCCATTTGTTGTTTTGTTCCAGTCCCCCAAATGAGAGCACCTGCCTCTTTATATTTTCAAGAAAAATTGTAAATACTTATCCCCTGAGGACATTTTGTGTGGTTTTAGCCATTTCAGAAAATTTTATGTTCAGTCCACAGTGATTTAAAGATTTTTGGTTTAGGACTTAAAGTTGTTAACTTTCCTCTATTTGAAAAGTATAAATCATGGAAATAATACTATATAGATTCAGAACAAAGACTTTAAAGACAAATCTGGGTTTAAAAGTTGATCTCATCAATATTATCTAAGAAGATGTGGGCAAGTTAATTAATGTTTTTTGACTTTAATTCCAGTTCTAAATTCAAGACAATTTAATTACTTCATTGGGTTTTTGCCTTTAGCTCAGTAAATAGTTGTATGATGACTGTTATTAATGTCATGTCAGCAAGGCATGTGGCTGGACAGCACACACATCAGACTTGCTGGAGCAGCATTCTAAGATGGGACTCTGGTTGTCTATGCATTCTCAGGCAGACACAGAGGACTAGTCGAGCCAGACTTCCAACCCTGGAAGAAAGACTAGTCCCTCTGTTTGGGGAAGTTCTTAAGCAGGAAAATTACAGAACCCTCCATCAATTCCCTGGCTTGAGCAGGGACTGGGATGCAATAGCAGTATGATTGTGGAGGAATCTTGTCTCCAGCCTCATCTTTCTAGCAAGTGAGTGCACATGTTCGGAGGATGGAGCACCAGCCTCCTCAACACTATGCAATCAGGGGGCTGCAGTCCCAGGCGCACAGTGGAGCTGAATGACAAGGGAAGCTTGCTGCAGGGTTTGCCACTTCCGCATTTATGTTGCGGGAAGCTCTATCTCCTCCTCTGGTGTGACGAGGAGGATGATGGTCCCAGGATTTGCTGGACCAAGACCTGTTTCCTCAAGGACAGGGCAGTAGTAAATTTTTTAGGAGATTTGTAGGGGATCAGCTTCTTTTCTGAGAGGCCAGCTTGCTGGGGACCAGTCTTGGACAAGTGAACTTTTATTATTCAAATATTATTGGATATATACCCAAAGGAAAACAAATCATTCTACCACAAAAACTTACATACCCGTATGTTCATCACTGCACTATTCATGATAGCAAAGACATGGAAACATACGTGCCCGTCAATGGTGAATTGGAAAAAGAAAATGTGACACATATACACCGTGAAATACCATGCAGCTATATAAAAGAATGAAGTCATATCCTTTGCAGCAACATGGATGCAGCTGGAGGTCATTATCCTAAGTGAACTAATCCAGAAACAAAAACCAAATACTGCATGTTCTCACTTACAAGTGGTTGCTAAACATTGAGTACACATGGACTTAAAGATAGACACTGTGGCCTACAAATCGGGGAAGGATGGGAAAAGAGAAAGGTTTGAAAAACTACCTATTGAGTATTGTGCTTGATATGTGGGTGACACGTTCAGTTGTAACCCAAGCCTCAGCATCATGCAGTATACCTTTGAAACAAACCTACCCATGTACCACCAAACCTAAAATAAAAGTTGGAAAAAATATTTAATATGTGTATATAATTTTTATGTGTATATATAATATGTGTATTTAGTATGTGTATATAATTTATATGTGTATATTTAATATGTGTATATAATTTTAATTATGATAAAATCAGTTATATTTTCATTGACTACTGCTTCCATTTTGGACTAACTAAGCTTGAATAGTAGTTCACTTATAATCTTCTATGTAAGTGTGTATGTGGAAGAAGCTTGTTTAATATAGAGCTACATTTTATTCTAATCTATAAGAGATCTTTAAAAGCAAAATCCAGTTTGTAAGTACATGTATTTTTAATGACAAGGGAAAAGAGGTCACAAATAATTACAATTAAAAATGTCAATATAAAGAAAGGAAGGTGGTAAAATGTTTTGGTATAAGAATTTATGACTGAATAAAGAATTATCCTAAAAAGCTGATTTTGAGATAGGCAAATGATCTGATCATGACTTTCACTTTATTATTCTCTCTCTATGTGAGAACTCTGTACAACAAATTTATCATGCAGACAAATGCAAAAAAAAATCACTTAAGTAGCTGATCTTTCAAGTGCCAAAATTCCACCCCAAATTGCAGATATAAACCCTTGCCAACAAGAGTTTATTTTTAAGACTCGGACAGTCTGTTCACTGTGGCAATTCTAGCAGGCTCCATCAAACCACTAATGACATAGAAGAGAAATGAGAAAGAATCGACTTGGAGTAACTTAATGATACTACATTTTAAACCAATGTCAAGCATGCACTGTTCCCTTAGAGATATTAATAAAGTTGGTTGAAGAATATATGTGCTCTAGTTCTATGAGACTCCAAAAGAGATTCCTATTGCTAATTTTTTCCTTTAGCATGTGAAATTGTTAGTCAGCATGCTCTTGCAAGGACAAAAGTTAGATTTTTGTTGTAGGATACTCAGTTTTCTTCCTCCCCCGAAAATGTTAATTTTAGTGCTTCAAGGAATATAGAATTAAGGTTGGTAATTTGCTTCTTTATGAGACTTGGGTGCATGGTCTCACAGCCTGTCATAGATCAGGGGAATAGATCAGGGGAATTCTCTTATCCTTGCCACAATTGAATGTTATTCCTGGAACAATACAGTCTCCCCTTGGGCAAGGCAGAACTGATTTGACATTATCTTGGAATAATCAGTTTTATACATCCAAGCATAATGTTTGCTCCCTTCGTCTGTTTTAGTCTACTGCAAAAGTCTGGGGGATTCTGACAGTCTTGGATAGGTGAATACAAGCAGATTGACCAGGGGCTAGAACTTAACACTATTCTTAATAATTTGTCATGACCCACATGTTTCCCTCCCAGCTTTTGTGTACTATCTTCTCACTGGCTCAAGGTTGCTTTATTCTATACAAGTTAAGGAATGTTGACATTTTGTCCTGTTTTTTTCAATTTAGAGTTTCTGATCCTGACCACTGTTGAGCTTTCCTACACCTCATAAGCTAAGTTTTTCCCTTTAAGCTCTGGCCCTGATTTTGACCCCACTACTCTAGTCTTGTCACTGCTCGTTTGTAATGACTATTCCCTGTTGAGCCACACAGACTGAACACCTCCATTGTGGGCTCTTATTATTTACAATATTTCAGTTTCTTATTCAGATAAGTTTTAGTAAGTTATAAAATGCTTACGAGAGTTAGGTAAATATAAAAGTAGGGAAGAAATGAGGCCCAGAAATTTTCTTCTTTTTCCCCCACAAACCCTTCTTACACTATCAGAAGTGGAGTAGGCTTAAGATCAAGAAAAGAATCCTACATGGTCTCTAAACAAATAATGTTTGGCAGCAAATAAATGCTAGAAATTTTTATTTCAATAATTATCGTTAAGCATAAAGTATACTTGTTTTAAAGCATAGGCAGGTATAACAGTTACTTTTCCTTCTTTATAATTAACCATTACATTCAAGTATATTCTACACTGAACAATATTGTGGGATCTGGCCAGCAGCCCACAATGCAACGGGGCTCTCTCTTTGTTCCCAGGCAGATTGGCAGGTTGAGAAAAAATAGACACACACAAGATAATGAAAGCTGGGTCCAGGGGGGTCACCGCCTTCTGGTCCTGCGGTGCCAACAATGCACTGGATATACTAGCATTTATTATTAAGTTTAGTGAGGGCGGGGATAGGTTAGTGAGAGATTTAGGGTCATTTGATTATGAGGTGAGATGGTCACATGGGGATGAAGTAATTCTTTAACATAACATTTGTATGTAGAAGTACAGTACATTTGTATGTAGAAGTACAGTATACAGAGATAAGAATTTACAATATAGTGTGTGCGTCAGTAATTTCTAACAGAGCCTTAAAACAGAAACACAATCTTTCCATAACCTATGATTAGCAAGATATTAATCAGCAGTAACAATTGCAACAAAAGCTCATTACAAACAATCCATGGAAACAGGACGTGAAGCTAGACAACCGGTTAGACCAGAAATTCTCAGAAGGGAGTATGCCTTAACCCTAAAGAGGCCTAGAAGAGCCGTGGCAAGATGAGGGCGTTTATAGCCCTATCTTATCCATATGGACAGGCGCCCCCTCCCCCAATGCATTCATTTATAGGCTCTCCACAAGGGTCACATTCCATTCCCAGAGCTATGAACATCTACTTTTCTGGGATAGGAATCTTGGTGATGTGAAACCTCCCTAACTGCACGTCCATTCATAGGCTCTCTGCAGGGGGAAGCACATCACGTGCTGTTGGCTCGTTCTGGCAGCCCAACCTGGCATTGTCTTTACACAATCTTGCATGCAATTTTGTATTTAACAATAATCAGGAGGATTTCATCTTTTATTCCGTAGCGATAGTTTCAGGGGGTCTCCCTACAGAGCAAGAAGTCATTTCAAACAGTAGGTGCATGAGAGAGAAGAGACAAGTAAAAATGGGATAGGGAACAGTTACTTTCTAGTGTTATCTGTAGGTTAGCATGGAGCCACAGGCCCAAAGAGAGGCTTCTGAAAAACAACAACAACAACAACAACAATGTGTTGCAAACACTTAAAGGAAATTTATATTATTCTGACAAAAGTCACCCATATTGAATTCCTAAAGAAATCTCAAACATGGTACTACAAAAAAAAAAAAAAAAAAAAAAGAGAAAACAGACTTTTCTACTTGAAATAGTAAATGAAAAAGAAAAAATGGATGAAAACCATATGAGAGGCTTAGGATTATATAATGGAAACAGACTAATTCTCTTGAGAATGGACAAGTTCCTATTAAAGATCAGTTTAAAGAATAATTCTGGGTGCATTACTATATCCACTATGCCTTATATCAACACATAATATGGTGGCTAGTATATTAAAGTTTATTATGTGATTTTTCTTTTAACTTCTCAATTAATTTTAATAGTGACTATGTGAACTTCACAATTCTGCCCCCCATTTTATTTTTTAGTTGACTAAAGTGAGACCCAGAGAGCTATCAATAAGTTAACCCTCAAACAGGCTTGTATTAAAAGCCAAAACTTGATCTCTTGACTATTGACTCTAGAACTTATGACTCATTCCTTTACCCTTTTTACTTCATCACAGCTACTTTATACAATATTGTCATGAACCATGAAAATTAGAAACGACCTTACAGATCTAAGTTGTCCAAACTTTCTTCCAAAGCAGGGTAACTCTGCAATTCTGCCAGTGGCCCTGCCCCAGGATTAGAATTATTTTCATCCCATTGTTGAAGTGCTCTAAATCATTACAAGATTCTTTCATATAAGAAAGCAAAATTTTACATAGAGCATATCCTGGTAAACCAAGTAATAACTAATATAGTCTAAACACAATGCCTTTAGGATTTGAATTTTTAAAATAGTCTTAAGGCTAACCTTAAGAATAGTTCTACTCTAGAACAAATAGAATTATGGCAAAATTTCTTATCTGTGGTGAAATTGAATGAAAGACAGAGACACATCAAGACCAAGATTCAAATCTTAGCTTCACCCTATGTTAGTTCTGACTCAATTTTGTTAATCTAAAGTGAGTATGATAACACCTTTTCCAGGGTTATTGTGAACATTGATTAATATATGTGCAAAGAGGACACTTTAGGAAACAACTATTCTTAGTCATGGCTAATGACTTTTACTCACAACAACCTTATACAATAGAACATGAATTTTCTAGTTAGGAACTATTGTTTCTCTAACCAATCTTTTGATGAACTACCTCACAGTTTATTAGAATTCCAACAATTTATTTTTGTTTCTTGAGAAACTCAGAAAATACTTAAGAATGAAGTTAATGAAAGAATAAATAAATGGATTAGTGGAAACCTACATATTTACTTGCATAGGAGAAGGTTTTCACTTGGTATATGCATTAAATACGTTTTCCCATCCCAAATGTTTTCATATTGGCATTCAGGAAAGGGAACATTTGAGGTATGGTACAGTGGCCTATTGCTGCAGGCTTATCATCTCTTTATTGTTGTTTTCCCTTTTCCACTCTAAGGTCTTCATACACCCCTCTAAACAAGTGAAATTGCCTGCAAGTTAGTAAATGTGTGTGTTCTTGAGTGATTTTAAATTGAGAATCTTGGTAATTAAGGTTTGGGCATAGGAAGACATTTAAGCATCACAATCATTCCATAATACTCCTATTTCAGTTTATTTTGTTCCCTTATGTCTTATTTTTTCCTAAAATAATAGGTCTAGTTGACTGTATTTATGATATCTAATTATAATTCTATGTAGGCGAGGCAAACCTATGATGAGCTCACAATAAAAAAGTGTTCATTTTAAGCAAACAAATGAACTCTAATTGCTGCAACGTGTCCCTGGTTTATGAATGTCATTGACAACAGGATAGGCCAAAATTATACAATTTATATATTTGTGTGCCCTCATTAAAATCATGAGAAACATTAATGTGTATAAATGGTAGAGATTTCCAAATCTAAAATTATGCTAAATATCCAATGTGGTCTAAATTGTGCAGATTGGAACTATGACATATACTTTTACGACTCTGGAGGTCTAATTTATGAACATTGTTACAAGGTTTTTAATGGAGTGAAAATGAAGTCAAATTGAACTTCTTCCTGATGACATTAAAGCTCCAATCACAACACATAGACTAATAAATGTTACTTTTTAGGTAGTGACTGTCCCATCAAAGCCTCTTTAATTTGAGTGAAATTGTAATAGGGAATGTTTTGGACACTAAAGAAAATCACAGTATACCAGCACTATATAGAACACGCATTTTGTTCAACATTTAAATTTTTAGCTTCTAGTTTATGCAAGGCGCTGTATTCATTGCTGGGCAATATACACAATGTAATGAGGCAAAGTTTGAAATTTAAGGGATTCGCAAACTACTAAGGTGCCATCAGTTGTGAGAGGCACCATTATTTCATGTAACACAGAGTAGAAGAAAAACAAAACAAAATGCTGCCAAGTAATTATAAGGTATCACTGTATTCACTGAAAGATGCATGTCAATTTCAAATATGTTTTAGTGTGAAAATCTATTTATCCTAGAATTCATGAAATATGGTGGTTGAGAACTCGAATATAAACTATGCTTTATTAAGAGCTGTAACAAAGATGCAACATGTCCTGAAAACATGGAAGGAAATATTGATTTTGACCAGAAGATCAAAGAGAAAACAAGTATGTGAATCTTTGAAAGAAGACTAGAGTTTAGTCTTATGCAATAAGGGCAGATAAAAGAACAACACTCTCATAAGAGGGAATGAATGCTTAAAAGTTTGGAGAACCACAAGAATCATGTAAAAGTGAACAATAAGGCACATGAGAAATACTAAGAAACAAGTGAAACAGGTGACAAATTGGAAGTTTTGACTGAGGTGTTCATATACAATAGAATGCTGAACCAGATGAAACATTTCCAAGGATTTGGCTGAAAACCAGTTAGCTGACTCTTTTGAACTTCTCAGTGTATCAAATTGCAAAAGCATTGAAAAATAAAAGTGGGAAAATTAGATAGAAGGATTTCTTGAGAGAAACCTGCATTGGTGGATCTCTCCCTCTTCCATTATTACTTCTTCACATCAATTTAGTGAGAATTTCAATGGGGGGCCACTCAGAGGTTTTAATGTGTGTATCCTGTCATCAGGGATATGTCAGACTGCAACCGAACTCTGGCCCCGTGGTCTTTGCAGCAAAATGGGAGTTACAGCTCCACTTATAGCTAGTCAGATATATGCAGATTTGAAGGACTGGCCATGGAAACTAAAGTGGGTTAGTTGCTTTGAAAGGGATTGTACCCAAGATGGTAGTCTTACATACTGAGTGAACCTCCAGCTGTGAGAGATTATGTGGGACCACTGGGAACTGAAAGAAATCTGGGGGACGCACCTCGGGGAGAGGACTTGCTCCCATGGTTAAATGCATTCAGAGAGGTTTAATATGAGTAAGAAATAGTAAACATTGGCCAGGACCAGAAAATGTGAAGCCATCTTATTTTAGCGTCAGTCAATGAGACTTCCCTTACCCTCTCTCTCTCCTTCCTACTCCAGGTTCCACCTTGGCATGGTCAGAAACAGCAGTTGACTAGTGAAGGAGGAAATGAATGAACAAAAAGGAAGATCTCTCTTTTCTACAGCAAGCAGTAGTTTCTCACAGCATCCAGCATAGGTAAAGAAAAGAGATTTGACTTTACATTAGCTTTTGAGCTTTGATTCATCTGTTTTACTGGAAAATTTAGTCACAGAATTTAGATTATGCATATAACTTAAAAGGAGTAAAAGAAAGAAAAAATCCAACAGGAAGAAAAAGGTTGTGAAGTTGTCTAAGTTTGCATCTAGGAGCAGGGGAAGGAGTACACATACGAAACAGGTTTAACGGGATGGTGAAAGATTAAAAAGTAAGTTACTTTTATAATTGTATTTCATTAATTCTTTTCAACATATAGGTTACTCAAGACAAAAAGAGGAGTTTGGATGAAATGGCATAGGGCTGACTACTGGACTAAGAATTCTGGATTTTATTCTGCAAGCTGGTGGAGACACATCAAAGGGTATTGAACAGGAGGCTGACAGGATTACATCTCTGTGTTACAGACATTAGGTCTTTGCATAAAAGTATATGCTCCCTTATATTATACACTTACAGAGGGCTGGCTTTGTTTAACTTGTCCTACATAACTTTCAGTACTGAAAGTGAGCATTATACCATTGATGAGGTTGCTATTAAACCTATGTAAAACATCTGTGCTATCAATAATTTCAGGTATTGTTATAAAAATCAGATGAAAGAACTGGATATCATAAGAAAATTTACAACAACTAAACATATAGAAGAGATTTTTAAAAAGGCCTAAAAAAAGGATGCTGCAATGGTTAACTAGGAGCACAATAACGTTGCATAATGAAACCAACAAATTCTCAGAGTCTTATAATCATAAGGCTTTGTTTAGTTAATGTGGCTATGGGTTAGCTGGAATTGGCTGATTTGGACTGGGTTCAACTGGGGCAACTCAGTTCTGCTTCATGAGTCACTCATTTTCCCCTTGGGACCAGCAGGCTATCCCAGACATGTTATCTCACAGTGATAGTAGAGATGCAAGAGGACGGGTAGAAACATGAAAGTGCTTTTAAAGCCTTAGGTTATGACATGCCAGCTAACATTCAATGATTAAAGCAAGTCACATAGCCAAATCTAAGTTAAAGGGTGAAGAAAGAGTTTATATTTTTTGTGGGAGTAACTTCAAACTCACATGGCTAGTTAATTTTATATGTCAACTTGACTGGGCCATGTGGTGCCCAGACATTTGGTAAAACGTTATTCGGGGTATATCTGTGAGCTTGTTTCTAGATGAGATTAATATTTAAATCAAAGCCTGAATAATACACATGGCAAAGGGCTTTCATACAGGGAATGGTGAAGACTCAGGGCCGCTAATATAATCTACCTACATAGTTACCTAAATCAGTGCCATTTAATAAAAAAAAGAGACAAAAAATATGTTCAAAATACAGCCCCCCGCCACACACAGAATCAAATACCATGCAACAAATGCCACAGTTATTATCAGTAATACCAACAATAGTATTGCTAAATTTGATGTCTGTGAGATAGGATAGGTGGCTTTAAACCTTCTTACTGAAAATCTAAGTGAATATTGAGAGGGAAACCATATGTTCTTCAATAGTAGTGGAATTAAGGCAAACTCTAGGCAGATGGAGGTGAGGGCAATGGACATTTCTGCTTGATCATTTGGTTTTTATCAGTATTTACTGTACTGCTGGATACTAGGGGCCCCATGGCAGCTGGGTGTTGATTAGACCTCCTTCAAAACCTTGGGTATGAAGACATGTCTGAATTACGCAGGGGTGCTAGATTCTAGTGCTTTAGCCTGAGACTTTCTACTGAGGCAATCCTTCCAAGGGTCTCATGCCTCAAGGCCTAAAGCACCAGGTTTAGGTGCTTTTTGTGGTAAAGGGAGGAAGTACAGAATACCTTATTTCTCTGTAACTGCCCTCACCCATGCGTCTCATGCTGCTTGTATTAAGCTTTAGATTTATTTTGTCTAACAGTTCTTTTACCTTTATGCTATCTATATTATTTATTTTGTTTGTTTTTATTTTTTCTTTATTTGATTTTTATAATTTTATCCTTCTATTATTCTCTTTGAGCAAATTATAACTGTGTACTTTCTTATATTTTAAGTTTCTTTTTTAACTTTACTTTTAAAAATAGCAGCCCGAAAGCTAACATCCCCTAAGGGTAATAGTTGTGTGGATGGTTGGTGCCCTAGCCCTTCTCTCCACTAACAGTTCATGGTACCTCGCCGTAGCCTTTCTTTAAGAGACACATCTTGGTGTGAAACACACACACACACTGCAGCTACAACTGAGCTGCAAAGCAGTCTGGAGTGCAAGGGAGTTTTCTGCTTTATTCTGTAACCTGACTTGACAAACCCAGCAGAAGATTTACAAGAGTTCTCTGTCTCCTTCTAAAGGAAGGTGGGAACAGCAGGTAGTGGAAATTGGGATGCATTGCCGGGGCGACAGGAGGACAGCTTGTACTTCTTTTCTGCCAGGGCTGTCTGTGTTCTCTGCCGAAGCAGACACAATCAGTTTCTAGCGTAGGCTGTCTGGCACCAACTGTATTTACCATGGTTTATTCTTGGGATTCCTCTAAAAGGGCATGTGACATTTTTTTTTTTTTTTTTTCAAAACCTAAGAAGGACCTGCTAAAATGTGGGGATTGATAATGGAACCTACTTGGGGCCCAATTCTGGGAGCTCATTTGAACCAAAAGGGACTAGATACAGGCCTTTTTACATCTGAGTCTTCCATAACATAAATTGTCAATGTTATTCCAGTTAATTAAACACATTAAAGGGAAAAAATCAATTAATATTGTAGTAGGTATGGTAAGAATAGACCAACATTCCGAAAACAAATCCTAGCTCTATGCTTCTTAATACCTAGAGTTTGTTAGCAAGAGTCACAGCTTTCTCTATGACTCAGTTTCCTTTTCTGTATAATGATGATAATAATATTATGTACCTCATCAGATTCTTGTGAGGAAAAAATAAGTTACAAGCATATGCACTGCATAAACATTTGTTAAATAAGAATTTATGCAGACATATGTAAATACATCAGCTGCCTGACTATTGCTTCCTGGCCAATAATTACAAGAGAGGAGTGGGACTTCCATTCATTTGGAAGTTGAGAGAGCAGGCTCAGGGAGGAGGAATCACCCATTACCCATACCTTCTCTTGGTGTAGATGCTGAGTGAGTCCTGCTTAGGGTATAAAGAATATCAACACCTCAGCCTGATTGAAGGTGAAGTGAATCTTGCTACCAGAGACTTGGTATCTGGATGAAGGGTGATCCCAGGGCACCGAATTCTTCCTATCATAGTGCACACTCCCATGTTGACCAGTGTCTGTAACAGAAGATCTCCTGCTTTGGAGGCTGCTCCCTTTCTGAACCTGGAGTGCTGCCTGGCTCTCAGCAGATGAATCTTGTTTACTACATCTGCAGCCAGTAGTTTCCTGTTATGCAAAAATCAGTGGCTCCTAAACATAGTTCCCAGACCCACCAGACTCTTGGTTTCACCTGTCACAAGAATGAGAATATTCCCCATTAAAAGTATTTTCCTCTATGGTTCCCTAAGTAAGTCACAGTGCCATCCACTGAGGTAAGCAGGCCCCCAAACCAAAAGCCATTCTGAACACCTGTCTGCTCATCCCAAAATATGTCGCCAATCACAAAACAAGTCAATGGCCCCTCCTAAGCAACTCTAGAGTCCATCTACTCCCCTGCCCTGCACTGCCACCACAATTGTCACTCCTGAATTTCTACACCGGCCTCTGACCTCACCTCCTGCATTGAGTCTTGGCTTCTTCCAACCCGTTCTCTGGACTGAAGCCAAGATTACATTTTTTTCGTAGAAAATCTGTTTATGTTACTCCCTTAATTTAAACTTTTCAGTGGGTTTTCCAATACTTTTTAGATAAAAAGCAAAGTAATCAACATACCTGGGCTCCAAGGCTGCCATTCTGATCCTGCTGCTTCACTCCTTGCTCCCACACACATCGCTCAGTCGCTGCAACACCCTCAAGGCCTCTCACCTCAGGCACATGCTCTTCCCTTGGCAGGATATACTCCTTCCCCCGCTGCCCCCATGTGACAAGTGTATTCTTACTCGTCCCTCAGAATGCCATCCATCTTAGACCTCCTGGGCCACCATAAAAGAATACCACAGACTGATCTGCTTAAATAACATTTTTTTTTTTTTTCTCACAGTGCTGGATGCAGAAAGTCCAAGATCAAGATGCCAGTGGGATTGGTTTCTGGTGAGGCCTCTCTTTCTGGCTTGCAGATGCTGCCTTCTCTCTGTTTCCTCACATGGTCTTTCCCGTATGTGCACACTCTCCTGATGTCTCTTCCTCTTCTTATGAAGACACCAGTCCTATCGGATGAGGGTTCCAATCTTGTGACCTAATTTAGCCTTAATTATCTCCTTAAAGACCCTATCTTCTGGTGAAATCACATTGGGGATTAGGGCTTCAATATATAAATTTGGAAGGGGAACCCTGTTTGGTTCATAACACCACCTAAGCACTACTTCCTCAAGGTTTCTCAAACACATACAGTTTAGTCAGAACTACCTGTTGTACAGTTCCCAAACTATAAATAATTTTTTAAATTACTTGTTCAATGGCTGTCTCTCCTAGTAGTCTATAAGCTCCATGAAGGTAGTTACTTTTCATACCTTGTTTTCCGACTTGTCTTCTATATATCTTCCAATACATCCTCCAATGCCTAGCATAGTGCCTTGTAAGTGAATTCAAACTAGGGTGCTTTTGTTAAAAAACAAAAAACACAGCTTCTGAATGTTAACAACTCCCTATATTAGACGAGAGATCACCTCACCCCTTGGATAGTTTTTGGGACTAGCCAGGTGCTCTCAGACAGAATAGGTTCTATAGTGATTTGGGTCCTTTGGTCTTATCTTTTAATCTCACACTGTTTTCTATAGTTTGGATGTTTTTCCTCTCCAAATCTCGTGTTGAAATGTGATCTCTAATGTTGGAGATGTGGCCTAGTGGGAGGTGTTTGGTTTGTGGAGGGGGGTCCCTGATAAATAGATTAATGCCCTCTTGCAGTGAGGAGGTGGGGAATAAATTCTCACTTTATTAGTTCCCATGAGACCTGGTTGTTAAAAAGAGCCTGGCATTTCCCCTGCCTCTCTTGCTTCCTCTCTCTCCATGTGATCTCTGCACATATTGGCTCTGCTTCGTCTTATACCATGTGTGGAAACATCTTGAAGCCCTCACCAGAAGCAGATGCTGGCACCATGCTCTGTACAGCCTTCAGAACTGTGAGCCAAATAAACCTCTTTTAAGTTACCCAGCCTCAGGTATTCCTTTATAGCAACATCAAATAAACTAAGACACTAGTTTTGCTTGATAATATGGTAAATTTTATACTGCCAGCTCTCCTCCAAAATCCTTCCCTATCACTAACCCTTCATATCCAATTTGTCTGCTATCTACTAATATCTCTCATAACCACGTAATCTTCTTTTATCCTTTTCTGCTTTTCCTCATCACTTAGTTCCTACATTTCTATAGTAATTCTAACTAGATGTATCTATTTCTCCCTAAAATTCCCACCTGTTCTTCCCATGCTATTTGGATAAAAAATAATGAATACCACAAGTCTACAAATATCTTAAGTGGCTGACCCCTGCCTATGGTGTTGTCCTTTGCTCTCAGGATCATGTCCAAACTCTTCATGACAGTTTATTAAGTCATCTTAAAATCTAAACTTTGTTTTATTGTCCAGCTTCATCTTTCACCAGCCTAAACCACTTCCCTTCCCTCAACTCCCCTTGATCTTTCTCATCCATGGCCTTCATGACACTGTTTTTTCTTTCTGGAGTCCATTCTGTTATTCTTCTGGCTCACTCCATCTCTCTACCCCCATGGTTGGTACTGTCTCCAAGAAAATAACCACATTCCCCAAATTTGAGTCTGAGGTCTTTTCTGTAGGTTTTCATCACACCCTGTTCTTTTCCATCTCAGATATCATAATTTTTCTCTTGATAAGGCTACTATTCTCTGCTCAATCTAAGTTGATTTTCTTAAATGGGAGGGAGTTGTTTCATTAAAATAATGTGTACATATCTCCTAAAATCCATGGCAACAAAAGATAGCCAGACTTCAGAAGTGCCTGGAGCTGGGAGGTGGAAAACCATTGAAAATGAAGCCAACCAACTGTTAGATACTATGCCTCCTCCCCTTCTTTTCCCTATTCCTCTCTTCATCGGTTTATGATTCTTGTCTTCATGAGATTAGCTTCTTTGACTTCATCACAAGGGAAAAAGTAACCACCTTGTAGCTTTTGATTTCAAGTAGGAATGGATGAGGAGAGTGATTCTGATCAGCCCGGCATGAGCACGTGTCCTCCACTGAGCCAAATAGCTCTATCCAGGAAGGCAAAGTCATTTAGTATCAACTCCTTCTGGAGACTTCACATTTTGGGGTTAAAAATCATATCTAAGAAAATGTCACCCTTATTGCTGGACTAAACAGTGCCTTTGTGTAAACTCTAAAAAGCTGCTCATTTCTCAACAAAAGTTTACTGCTTAAGGCTAGAAATTTATTATAATAAGTGTACTTATATATGTATAATGACTACAAATGTACACATGTATCAAAAAGCCTTCGATGAGGTTCTTATGAACTGATTGGATAGGTACGTCAAATGACTTTCTTTAATAAACATTAAAAATGAAGCTTATTATTATTGGCAATTGTCCTTCTATTTTGCAAATTGATGCAGTATAAGTATTGCAGAAAAGAATGCCAAGTTTATTGTATGAGATTTTAGGGAAAAAACTATATTCTCACTTATCCAAACATAAATTTTTTAGAAGGACCTCATAGTAGCTACTTATAAAAATGCCTATATTATACATAATTATCAAACTTGAAGATAATTTTTGTGAATTTTTCAACTTAAATTGTCAATCTCTGCAAGGCATGCTGATTGGAATTAGAAACGTATTACATCTGAATGCTATGGGCTCAGAGCCTATCTCCAAATCACTTAGTGACTTAATGTCACATTTAACCTCTACCATATTGTCACCCTCTTGCCAGATCTCTAAATTATAAAGCTTCCTTTTAATAATCACATTTGTTTATGACCCCCACACTCATAGTTATGGTTTAATCTGAAGATAACTTGATCCTTTTTATTCATAGCAGATGAAGAGCAAATAAATAACAGAACATGTGTTGGTGTATACAAAAAATGATGGGGTTGAGAAGCCAAGGTATCTTATTGTTTGACAGAAAGGCAGAAAGCAGATTTAGAATATTTTGGAAAGAATATTGAATGATGGGTAAAGGGCCCATGGTATCTTCCGTAAACACAACTCATGTGGTTACATTTTCTTCAAACGAAACAGGAACTAGCAAAATGTCATAACAACACTCAAGTATGACACGAAGAGATCTTAACGCTGATGTGAAGGAGCAGTTAATCAAAACGAGAAAAGAGTAACTGATCAGCTGAACTTAAAGTTATAAATGCAAGTAACCAGAATAAGCTAGCTCAGGATCTAGTAAATTAAAAAGACCCCTATCTTCTCTGATTTGCTCATTTCCTGTACAGCAGCTATGTTATAGACCAAGTTGATGTTTCTGATATACAGACATATTTAGCAGTCTTCATAGCATGCTCCCTCAATAGACTTTACTGATAAAACATTATATAGTGTCAAAAATTTCCTCAAGCAGTTTGCTGGCTAAGCTTCCCACAATTTGAGAGTGAGAGGGTTAAGTGTTGTGATCATAAACCTTACAGTAATTGCTCTCAGACCTATTAGCAAAATGTCTTGCATAGAGTGTCATCCTGCCATTCCCCATGGGTCCTGTTCACTAACCCCTTGCATTTTGACAGTTATTATCATCCAAGCACAAAACATCACTGCTGCAACATGGAGCTATCTGCATAGTAATGTATCAACATTACTTGGTCTCCAAGAATAACTGTTAAAATCCTGCTATTATTTGGAATCTGAAAAAGGAAAGGCAAGCTTTTGCATTTATTTTTAAAAGACACTAACAACAAAATTAGTTTTGGTTGAAATCACAAGAAATACAACTATGTACATCTCATTCTAAAGCAATGTTGCCCAAGTTACAGAAATAAGAAGTCATTGGTAGACTTTATGCACACTCACTTTGAAAACATTGCATGAGAAGTTCTGAGGAAGCTGTTTTAGCAAAATAGAATGTTTTTCCTTCCTAACTCTTCTTTTCTCTGGGATGCTTGCATTATAAAATATGTTCCATTCTTCAGGATTGCCCATCTCTCCTTTATTCCTATATATTTCTTTATTTGTAGGCTTAGTTTAATTGGATTGTTTTCCACTCCTTAATCATATTTCAGGGAGCAACTGTAATAAACAAAGAACTTCCTGTGTAGCAATGTTGAATCCTCATTCCCTCATTCATTAAATAAATTTTGTACTCAATTTTTAAACTAACTGACTAGAATTAATTAATTTGTCTTTTTATTCATTCACTTATTGACTAAGTGCCTATGATATTGTGAATATACCGGACACTCTCCTAGGTACTGGGTATACAAAAAAATGCATTGATTATGCTCTGGAAAAGCTCATTTTCTGGCAATGGATTGTAGTCTCTGGTTATGTAATGAGTCAGCGATGAGATACTATTATGGTGGTCTCATTCACATACATCTAACTTACCTTGAAACCTGACCGTGGTTTATTTACTCATCTTTAAATAAAACAATGCCTATGGAATACTAAATTTTGCAGAAAATGTGTAATTAGTTAAGTGTTCAATTCAATACGACACAACAATGCTACATTACACTTTATTCCAAACCTCAGTGGCTTAAAACAATAACCAGATTATTATTATTATTATTTATTCCTTTTTTTTTCGTGATAGAGTCTTGCTGTGTCGCCCAGGCTGGAGTGCAATGGAGCAATCTTGGCTCACTGCAACCTCCACCTCCTGGGCTCAAGCGATTCTCCTTCCTCAGCCTCCTGAGTAGCTGGGATTACAGGCATGTGCCACTGCACCCGGCTAAGTATTTTTAGTAGAGACAGGGTTTTACCATGTTGCCCAGGCTGGTCTTGAACTTTTGACCTCAGGTGATCTACCCACTTCAGCCTCCCAAAGTGCTAGGATTACAGGTGTGAGCCACCGTGCTGGGCCATCACAATAACCAGATTATTATTATTCACAAGGCTACAGATCAGCAGGAAAGTTCCTGTAGTTTCAGCTATGCTCTGTATGTGCTGACCAATAGCTGAGTGCTGGGAAAGCCATTGCGTTCATTTTGACTGAGCTCTCATGTATTTAGGGATCAGTGGCTGATGACTAGTCTAGAATAGCCTCAACTCTTCTTCACATGTGCTCATGAAGAGACAGGTATAAGAATGAGCAAGCTCAATTGTTAGGAGAACAAGTAGAAATACACATACATTTTTAAAGCCTCTGCAGTTGTTCCATTTGCTGACATCTTGCTGGCCAAAGCAAGTCACATGGCCAGTCCTTGTGCTCAGGTGGGATGAACTATTAAACCACAAGGTGTGCACTCAGGGTGGGCCTTAAGTAAAATTATTAATACTATTAATTTACCACAATGTATAATATGCTCTGATGTGAAAAGCTCACAATCCAGTAAATATACACACTGAAGACAGATTGATAAATGAGGCATAGTTAGTGAACACTATGGAATAGCAAACATTGACCAGAGAGGGAATATCTTATATAGGAAGTGTAAGATATAGAGATTATCTCATAAAAACAAGAGTCAAATTATGGATTGAAGATCAGCAGCTTTGAGGAGGAAGAGAGAGAAAATAAAGAGAGAAAACAAGCAGGATAGTGGGATGGTTTACATTCTTTTATTCAGAAGAATTAAGATAGCCAATAGTATCATAATTTTCCAGCTAGGTAGATTTAAATGTTTCTGTAAAAAGAATTACTCCTAAGACTTTATTTGTCCTTGCTTAAAATATCCCATTTTATGGCACTAGAATTTTATAAGAACAAACTATATGCAACTGATGGTGTAAATTATGGTCAGCCTCAAGTGGCTAGCTCCGCTTTGGACAAAATCTGTGGAAGACTTTGAGAAATTTGTGCTACAGACAAGAATGAGTTCAGAGAGGGGTAAGAATGTAATTTGTATCAAAGGGATCAACTAGAGCATTCACATTGAAAAAGAAAGGAATATTCACTGTGTATTGATAACTCATTGCTCCTCATAAGGACTCTGGTCAGATATACCAAATACAAATCATGCAGGTATACATCTCAGTTTTCTTCCCATCTTCTCTGCAGTGCTACTTGAAGGGGCACCAAAAAATCATGAGCCCAGGACAGGACAGAGGTGGAACTTATTCTCCAGGTGCTCTACTTTGAAGTCAAGGACATCTTACCATCATCCTGGAGAGCTGGATCCTCCCAGAGTGAGTGAGTTGATAGGTACTCAACAGTCTTTTCAGTACTTAATCATTTCTCAGTCATTTTGCTTTTTATCTTTCGTAACAGCTCATTTTCATTTGGAGTCCTTGGTATCTTACTATGTAGTTTTTACATCTCCCTGCTTCAGTCATCTACAATTCCCCCATACTAATCAAAGAATTTGACCCCAGTATTTGTACTTCTTTCTAACCTAAGGACTTTAATTATAAGTATTTTCTTGAATAATCCACAAACATATTGACTTTAGAAATTTTTTTTTTAAATCTGTTTTACTCTGACAACCTTCAACTTTATCCACCATAGCTATCTACCTTCACAGCCATACCTTCAATCTTGTCATGATTTGGAACAATTCTAACTAAATCATTTCATACCAATGTTCAATGTTTTAACCATAAAATCCTAGGTTTCTAGGTTGCCTATGTCTTTAATCCCATTATGATCTCAGCATGGTATTACAGCATTCAACAAACATTTATTTATATATGTATTTATTTTCTCTTTCAACTTTTATTTTAGATTCAGGGGGTACATGTGCAGGTTTGTTACCTGAGTATATCGCATTATGCTGAGGTTTGGGAACAAATGATCCTTCACCCAGGTCCTGAGCATAGTACCCAACACTTAGTTTTCAACACTTGTCCTCTTTCCTGCCCCCCAGTAGTCCCCAGAGCCTATTGTTGCCATTTTTATGTCCATGAATACCCAGTGTTTAGCTCCCACTTGTAAGTGAAAACATGAAGTATTTCATTTTCTGTTCCTGCATTAATTCACTTAGGATGATGTCCCCCAGCTGCATCCATGTTTCTGCAAAGAACATGATTTTGTTCTTTTTTGTAGCTGCATAATATTCCATGGTGTATATCTGTTACATTATCTAATTCAACACTGATGGTCACCTAGGTTGAGTCCATGACTTGAGTATTGTGAGCAGTGCTGTAATGAACATGCAAGTGCATGTGTCTTTTTATTAGAGTGATTTATTTTCTTTTAAATATATATGCAGTAATGGGATTGGTGGGTCGAATGGTAGTTCTATTTCAAGTTTTTTGAGAAATCTCCAAACATTTTTCCACAGTGGCTGAACTAATTTACATTCCCACTAACAATTTATAAGTGTTTCCTTTTCTCTACAGCCTTGCCAGCATCTGCTATTTTTTTGTCTTTTTTATAATACCCATTCTGACTGGTATGAGAGAGTATCTCATTGTGGTTTTGATTTGCATTTCTCTGATGATTAGTGAGTTGGAGCATTTTTTTCATGTTTTTTGGCCACTTGTATGTCTTTTTTGAGAAGTATCTGTTCTTGTCCTTTGCCCTCTTTTAAATGGGACTTTTTTTTTTGTTTTTTTGTTTTTGTTGTTTTTTTGTTTTGCTTCTGAGCTGTTGAAGTTCCTTAAGATCCTGGATATTAGACCTTTGCTGAATGCAGAGTTTTTGAATATTTTTCTCTTATTCTGTGGACTGTCTGTTTACTTCGTTGATAGTTTATTTTGCTGGATGGAAGCTGTTTAGTTTAATTAGGGTCTCACTTGTCAATGTTTGTTTTTATTGCAATTGCTTTTGAGGACTTAGTCGTAAATTCTTTCCTAACGCCCATGTCTAGGATGGTGTTTCATGGTTTTCTTCTAGGATTCTTATAGTTTGAGGTCTTATATTTAAATCTTTAATCCATCTTGGTTAATTTTTGTATATGCTGAAAGGTATGGTCGAGTTTCATTCTTCTGCATATGGCTAGTAAGCTATCACAGCACCATTTACTGAGTAGGAAGTCCTAACAACATTGCTTATTTTTGTTGACTTTGTCAAAGATTAGATGGCTGTCAGAGTGTGGCTTTATTTGTGGATTACCTTTTCTGTTCCATTGGCCTATGTGTCTGTTCTTACACCAGTATTGTGCTGTTTTGGTTATTGGAGTCTTATAATATATTTTTAAGTCAGATAATAAGAAACCTCCATATTTGTTATTTTTGCTTAGGATTGCTTTGGCAATTCCAGCTCCTTTTTGGTTACATATGAATTTTAGAATAGTTTTTTTGCGGGTTATGTGAAAAATGATCTTGGCAGTTTGATAGAAATAGCATTGAGTCTATAGATTGCTTGGGCAGTGTGGCCAATTACTATTAAATCCATGAGCTTTTAATGTTTTTCCATTTGTTTGTGTCGTCCATGATTTCTTTTAGCAGTGTTTAGTAGTTCTCCTTGTAGAGGTCTTTTTTTCCCCCTTCTAGGCTAGAGGAGTTTCTAGATATTTTATTTTTTTTCTGGCCATTTTAAATGGGATTACATTCTTAATTTGGCTCTCAGTAAGGATATTATTGGTGTATAGAAATGTAACTAATTTTTGTACATTGATTTTTATATTCTGAAATCTTATTGAAGTCATTTATCAGTTCCAGGGGCGCTTTGGTGAAGTCCGTAGGGTTTTCAAGATATAGAATCATATTGTACACAAGGACAGATAGTTTGACTTCTTCTTTTCCTATTTGGATGTCTTTTTTTTTTTTTTTTTTTTTTTTCTCTTGCCTGGTTCCTCTAGCTAGCACTTCCAGTACCATGTTGAACAAGAGTGGTAAGAGTGGGCATCCTCTCCTTGTTCCAGTTCTCAAGAACTGTGCTTCCAGTGTATGCCCCTTCAGTATGATGTTGTTTGTGAATTTGTCACAGATGGCTCTTATTATTTTAGGTGTGATCCATCAGTGCCTAGTTTGTTGAGGGTTTTTAATATAAAGAGATGTTGAATTTTCTCAAAAGCTTTTTCTGTACTATTGAGGAGATCATATGGTTTTTGTTTTTAATTCTGTCCTCATGTTGAATCACATTTAATTTGTGGAATATGTCAAAGAGGAAGTTGCCATATGGCTGTATAGATCATAAAAGAGCTTTTAGCTAGAAAATATACTCTAATACTCTTCTGCTCCACTCACCAGCAAAAGCCCAATCCTGTACCGGTCAGCAATTTACCAACTTTAATCATTCCTACAGCAGTGGTAGTAAGTATTGCTGAGAAAAAATAATGCAAAGCTATGTGTCTCAATGACACTCAGTGTTGATTTATGTTCTAAATCTCCACTGCTTCCCAAATGCCACTTGACCAAGTCATTTGTTTTACTTGGACAACTCCTTCTCTCTTTCCTCTCTTCAAGCAGTCTAAACGTTCCCCACTACTGTCTACCAGCTGTCAAATGGCAATCCTCCATTATTAACAGATTACCTCTCTAATTTTAGATGAAAACCAAAAAGAACATTGGGAGCAGTGTGTCTTTTAACTTTATTATACTCCTCTCTCCTGCTAGCTTATTTACAACTTAACTCTTTCCTCCAGTCTCAGAAAATTAAGTGTTATCCTGATAGCTTCTAGATAATAATCCGTCTCATCTCCTCTCTATTCTCTTTTTCTCTGGGCTTCTTTTCAGCAGACTACAAACATGGACAAGTCTCAAGAGAGAATTTAAAAGTTTTTCCCTTGACATTGACTGTCCTTTTTATTTAATCCCTACATGATGCCAAATTCTGCACCTGTTCCATGAATTTCATCTGTTCTTCCTTTTCAGGAAACACACACTGTTGATTATCCTGCCCTTTTCTTATATATTCTACTTCCCTCACCTAACTTGGTTCTTCTTACTAGTTTTTAATTATGCTCAAACTCTAAATCCCATTTCAGCTACTATTTTATCTACTTTTCCCCCTTACTAACATCTATTATCATTATTTCCAGTGCTTCTTTCCTTCTCCAACAATACAGATATATTTTTGGTTTGTATTACTTCTTTACCTTTGTTTATATCTGTAATGCTTCTTTCCCTTCACCAGCCAAATTCCTACAGTCTTTCAAAGCTCAGCTTGGGCACTAACTCCTCTGACCGTTCATTCTAGGCTGAGTTATGTGTCTCTAGATCCATCATGATACAGTCTACTGGTCATGCACATGAACCCTGAAGTCAAAAAATATGAGCCTAAGAGGTGACATTAATAGTTTATGCCAAGTGCAGAAGATTGTGATGAGAGTTGAGTTAATGCAACTTCTCTTAGCCTGTGTTTCCTGGAATATATAAGTGATGCAAACGTTTTTGTGTGAATTTATTATTTGAAGGTAAAATCCTAGAGAGGCAAGGGTGAAGTCAAATGAAGAAGAAAAGAGGAACGAGGCAGGTAAGGAGAGAACATATTCACAAGGTGGCGCGTTACAGAAGTAAGCACAGTGTTGCAATACAACAAAGCCAGTTGTTCAGTCATGTGAGGGAAAACTGATCTGTCATAAATCACTGAGTCAGGACAAGATAGATGAGCAATTTTTCTGTGGCTCCTTCTACACTCCTGTCTTCCATCGGTCAAGTCACTTACTCCCCCACAAGTAAAGGTTAAGTTATTTTGTCTAGCAACTAATGGGGAAGCTGTAACCTCTGTGGGTTTAGTCTGACCACCACAAGGGTAGAATGGTCTCCTTTTACCAGTTGGCACGACAAGTGAGGGCTACCGGGCCTATGGCAGGGCAGCAGGCAGGATTTTATGGCCACGTGAATGAAGCGAGATTTTGAGAGGTCCCCTCTGACCAAGAAGCAATGGACATTACTGAGGTGGGGAACAGGCAGAGTGGTATGGATCTGGGGATGCACATAAACTGGGACCAATGTGCCAGGGAAGTTTAAAGCACACTACTTTACACATGGGAAGTACTCTGTCAGAACAGCTAACATCCAATTACAGTTAAATCACAGTGGTCTATTTACTGTTATGTCTCTTCTCTATTCATCTGTAAACTTCTTGAATATAGTTTTTACTCATGTTTGTATCCCCAATTTCTAGCCTATAACATACAAGGCATTAGTACGTGTTCATAATTTGATTCAAATGCTATAATAGAGCCAAAAACAAAACTGGAGAGGGAAAGATTACTGTTACTGAAAAACAATTATTCCTCCAGTATTATTTTGGTGATCTAACAACAACCACATACATTTTCAAAAGGCAAAAGTACCATATTAGTTGTCTTCCATCCAGATCAACCATGTCATAGAGACATGATCATTGTTAACAGCTCTAAAAAGCTCAGAGTATCTGCTATCTGAAAAAAAAAAAAGAATCAGTAAAACTTCTACCCTTCTCACTCATTTCTCTTTCAAAAACTTTCTCTGTGCCTTCATTTATGGTTGTGAATGTGAATTCCTGCTTTTCCTCTAAGCTTTTCTAAAAGGATATTCTAAACTTCATTGAATTCCACTTCTCCTTTCCTTTTT
Source organism: Homo sapiens (assembly GCF_000001405.40). NCBI lineage: Eukaryota > Metazoa > Chordata > Mammalia > Primates > Hominidae > Homo > Homo sapiens. The sequence continues at coordinate 79,612,213 of NC_000004.12, forward strand.
CTTCTCTTCCCCTTTCCTTTTTTTCCCCCTTCTCTTCCCTTCCTTTCACTCTCCTTCTTTACCCTACCTATTCCCTTTCCTTTCTTTCTATTTTCCTTCCTTTCCTTCTCTGTGGTGTTGGATTGGATGTTGAATTATTGATGAGATCTCATGGTTTTCAATGTATTTTGATACATATAGAAATCAATACAGATGAAAATATCCATATATATTATGGGAGGATCTGTGAGAAGAGATAACCCAATAGCAGCTAGCACCCAAATATTGGTTTCTTAATTCCATTTGCTACTCAAAAGAAAAGATGTTCTTGGAGAAATGGTTGATTCCTAGGGCTGAGGCCAAGAAAGTAAAAGATGAGGCTGGAGTAATTGTGGTTCTGCTAAAATTATGGACACATGCCAAAAAGACTCAGAAGTCCACTTGAAAGGGCTCCCACTGGCCAAACCAGGAAAATTTTATCATAAAATTAAAGAATGGTCATATAGATTACAAAGCGTAAGATAAAATTGGAATCCACAAGCACATATGTATAAAAACAGATAGCTGAATACATTAAAATTTTGATGAAGAACAATAAATGTATAAAATTTCAAAGTGCCACCCCAGAAAATATGTATTAATTAAAAAGAAAAATAAAGCTATATTTACAGTAAGGATACCTAGCAGACACATCATTAATCACTTGACTAAAATGAACATTCTCAGTAATAGGACAAATTGACACTGTGCACCACCAAGTAGGGTGCAATAAGAATACAGAATCACTTCTATGTTTTTGTCAAAGACACATAACATGACTCTAAGCGTAAGAATTTTATACTTTTAGGAAAACCAGAGCGAAAGAACACACTGAGGGCTGGAAATTAGAAGAACTGAAAGAGGATCGAGGGTAATCTCTGTGAGGGTAGGACTTTTTGCTTGGAATAGTGTCTAGTGTGTAATGGGCACTTAATAAATAAATTTTGAATAAATGAGAGTAAATTGAAAACAAGGGGATCCAAAAGATAAAATGTGGCCTACTTTACCATTTTTGTCTAACACTAATTTGAATGCCAGCCAATAGGTGTTAGAAATATTTGGGAGAGTACTACGGTCATAATTAACCCAGTTATGCTGAATAACTGCTCCTTAAGTAGTCCTGGTTTCAGCAGGAAACATTTAAAAATATTTTTTTCCATGATGTCTATTAATTCTAATGTAAATCCTTCTGATACTGCATAATGAATGCTAATCATGGATAAAAGATGGATGATGACTGTTCAAGTGCACTCTAATTTGATTTGGCATATCCAAAATATTTTTGTCCCCTGATAAAGCTTTTACAATAAATGTCTCAGTGTTCCTGCCAGAAGATATCAACATGACAAATACAGAAAAACTATTGAATGCAGGTTAAGAACAACTTCCAAGTGTGGAACAATTCCCAAGTGTCTTGATATAATATAGCAGCAAAAACAAAAGAAATGTTCTTCAGTGATCAGTATTCTTATGTCCGGTTGTTGATGGCAACAGAAAATATCACCATATAAACCAAACCCCAGAGTTCCCATCAGTCTTTATGGATGGAACCCAGCTTGTAAGGCTGCCCAGAATCGAGTGGGAATTAATTCTTTCTAGACACCATGTGTCAACCTAATTTGTGGATTCCTTCCCTCCTGAGTTGTTGGCAGAGGAAAATATAGTGTCAGTTGCATTGTTTTCTACCTGAGCCATGGTTAGTTCACGCTGGTGTCAATATGAGCAATTACCAACAGAAATGAAGTGGTGACTGATGTATATTCAAAATTTTGGAATTTCTGAAATATTTAAATTAAATCCTCTGCTAATGTGATAATACATTTTTATGTGAAAAAAAGTCCTGTTTCTGAAATTCTATTGATACATCATCAAATATTTTATTGTTTTCTTGCACACCATAAATCAACAGCTGTATGTCCATCCTTATCTTAATTCTACATGTAATGTAGGTACATCTAATCCTACATGTAATGCTATATATATTTTTCCCATGCCTTTTGTTTATGGTCATTGGTAAAGATTGAATACTTTTGATTTATTATCTATCTTGGTTTGTGGGGCCAACATTCACTCAATAACCTAAATTAAAATCTTGGAATTTATTCTTAACGTTTTCTTTCCTCACCTCCTCCAACTCCATTCATCTTACCTCCAATAATCACGTCCCATTTACTTTACTCCTAAATATTTTTATAATTCATCTCCTTTGTCCAGTATTATCACTGTCAATCTTTAGAGCCTCTCAGATTACTTTAAGAGCCTCCTAACTTGTCTTCCTATACCTAGTCTTGGTCCCATTCTTCACATAACAGCCAGAAAGTTTTAAAATCTCACCTAAAATCTTCAAATTGTTAACCATCAATTACTCTACAAGGAGGCTGACTTTAACTATTCAATATCAGATCCCTGGTACCCAGAACACTGCCTGACCTAAGGTGAGCACATGACAATTATTTGTTGAAGGAATTAATATATGGTTCTGAACCAGGAGAGCATGACAGAAATACCTGGGATTCTTCACACTGCACACATGAACTTTCAGCTAGAGTCTCTGTTAGCTTCCAGACCTAGAGAACAGAGCCTAATTTTCTTGGCATTGTGTGCCGGGACCTTCCTAATCTAGCTGATGTGCACAATCCTAGCATCAGCTCCTGCAATGCCCTTTAATTCTGTATCCTCAAGTAATGACAAATTACTTGGAACACTGACACAATGCCTCAATTTCTTGCCCTGTTCATATTAAATATAGTTAACCTCCTCTTTTTCCTTTACAAGGATTTACCCTGATCAGTGCTCCTCCCTCCCCTGCAGCCTTAGCAACTCACATCTTTCCTAGACTATGGAAGATACTCAGAATACTTCGTGCATTTAACTATTGTTGCCTTTATTACCTTGCTTTGTAACCATCTGTTCAAACATCATTCATCCTCCCTAGAGTGTGATACTTGGGGAGTGGAAACCATGACTTCTTCACCTTTGTATTCTCAGTACAAAACATAGGGCTTTATACACTCAATATCAACATGTTGAATGAATAATTGTGGTCCAAATTAGAAGAAAAATAATAGGGATTGTACTATATTAATGTTTCTATTGTGTTTGTGCTTTTAAAAATTAAGACTTTTTAATCAAATTCTTTGTCCCAGTGAGTAACAATAAAAAGTATATTTAAATTTCAGCAGTCAGATCACATTTTAACATTATATTTTTGCCTTTCTCAGAAGGAACCTAGGCTTTTCTAACACCTCTTTTGTTGGCATCTGTAATCAAGACGTTAGCTTTCACTCATACTGATCAAATATTACTAATCATAATAGAAATGTAAGGAAATTGTTGTTTAAATTTGTGGCTTTACCTTCTTTGCTAAGTCTATTTGCTGGTGTTCTATCTTTAGTAAATAGAGTTCACATAAGCTCCGTCTTTCTAAATCACAGGCATCACATTTGAAATGAAATAAAAAGACTTTGGTGCAGAGCTGCTTTTTGTGTGATTGTGAGGTCTGTCCTTTAATTAGCATTCCTATCTGTTGTTTGCAAAGCATGCTGTTTAATCCAATTTCTGTAAAAAAAGAAAGCCAGAAGAGTATTTCTTGCACAAAGAGACAGTGACAGAAAAATATGTTTGAATCTTTTAATCAAAGGGATATGAGCCACTTAAGCTTGGATATTCACTGCTTCTGCAAGAGTTCTGATGGGCAGAAGACTCAACGGCACTGGTGCTTGGGAGACATGCACTGGGGCTGAGGCAAAGATGGTGGAACTTGGAAGACATGCAGTAGGGCTTAGGTGAGACCTAGTTGGATGCAGAATGTCTCTCTGTGAAGCATGGTTGCTATTTTTGTTAGAAGTAATTGGTGGTCAATAGGGACTGGCTTTGTCACTTCTACTCTTTTGAAATGAGCCTGATGTGTCTCTTGTTATCCATGGAAATGCCACCTTTATCCCCACTGTACTTTTCAATTCATTATCCCCTTTGGACAAGTGATTGAGTCCTCCTGTAATGTCTTTAATGGAAGCTGTGTTACTTAACCAAGGAAGCTTGGGATGGAAAAGACAGGTATTTATTTGTAATGGGGTCACCCTGTATCAGGTGAAACTCTCTGCTTATGGGTCAAATGCAAGTGTCACACTGAGTGGATGTTTCTGTGGGATGAGCACAGAGTGGAGCTGGTTCACGCTGCGGTTTCTTAGCCACCTGTCTTGGAAAATATGTACTGCTAACCAGCTTGTAAGTCATCCTTGTTGACAACTAATGTCATGGAATAGTAAGACTCAAAGATAGAAGTTGGTCATTTTTAAAAAATTTATATATGAATACTTTGTCTTGTTGATATGTCAGAAACTGAAAATTCTAGTAACCGGACTCCTCTTTGTCTACTATGCGGGGATGGAGGGGTGGTGTGGTGGGCAGGTCCTGGCAAATATTAGCTTTATCTTTGCCCTTCTGAATAGGATTGACCTAGTTTCTATGATAAAAATCTTTGTAGGGTATAATTTATGTATTGGGAATCACCTTATCTTTTCTCAAACTTTTCACCTTCAGTACTTTAGAAAACTTAAATTTACTTTAGTAAATCACTGTACTTTATTAAAGTTTTTATTCTTTGTTTTTGAAAAATGCAGAGAGCCCATATTGCACATTAATCCATTCTGATTTCTCCCCAGTGTTCTGTTTTCAAAATTCAAACAAATTACTAAGTTACATATGTTTCAGTCACTAAAAGTTTTGACCATGGTTCTGCTCCTAACTAGCTGGATAAAGTATGGGTATGTTTATTTTACAAATAAAATAATGGGATTGGATGACAGCTTTCTCACCTTTTGCTTTTATGAGCTTATGAGCTTATGTACTTTGGGAGGCTATACGACTTGGTATATTACCTATGAAGTGGCATAATATCATCCCTACAAATTATCTGTATAGTATTTAATCTATTCATTTCTATGAAAGTTTAATCTTTATCAATTCAGTAAAATAAAGTAACTAACACAATCTTAGAAAGCAGCCAGGTTATGAGCATCATTGAAGGTTTATTACAACGTACTTTCCCTCAGCTGTCAGGACGTGGCCCATTCTAATGAACGAATGAACCAAGCAAGGCATGTGGCTCTAAGAATCTATCCAACTCAAATAAAACATAGGCCAACCACCTTAACATATAACAATGAGGGATTTTCTTTTCATTTTAAAAATAATTTCCTAAGAAAAGTATTGGCCATAAAACTAAAAATATATGTAGGATACACTTAAAATAATAAGTTTATTCAGTACAGGCAATAAAACGTATCATATAGGGACAATAAAAATGTGTCAAGTAGCTACCGTGTACCAGGCTTTTGTCTAATAATTGAGGGTGTAAGATGTATTAGACAAGCTGCTTTAAGGAACTTATAATCTAGGTAGTGAATAAAGTCAACTGCAAGGAGTGTTTTAATAAAATATGGTGAGTTTAATGTGAACTCTGATAAGGAGGCAAAGAGAAGACATCTTTAGAAGAAAGATTGGGCAAATGAATCAGACAGATTCTAGGAAAGAAAATATCAAAGCCACATTTTGAACAATGTGCAGGAATTTGCCAGGTTGGAAGTGTCTTACTGTAAGTGTCAAAGGTGTGAACGTAGCTGTAGCGGTAGCAGGCAAGAGAGGGAGGCAAATAGCTTGAGGTAAAGAAGGAGCATATAGAGAAAGTTTATATTTTATTAAATGTAGCAATTAAACAGATGGATGTGGTATAGAGAAAGCATCTAATTTGTTAACTATTTTTTTAATTGGTTGGTTTGCAGCCATATAGATCCAATTGCAGGTAACACTTAACTTTGCAAAGACAAATGCAATGTTAATTTATGAGGAAGACCAAATAACCAGTGACTCTGCTAATTAAACACAGTGTTATGGTAGAACTCTTTCCTTTATATATGATACAGTCATCCCTCTGTAGCTGTGGGTTCCACAACCATGGATTCAACCAACTGTAGTCCAAAAATATTCACAAAAAGTTGCATCTGTATGGAAAATGTACAGATGTTTTTCCTTGTCATTATTTCATAAACAAGACAGTATAACAACTATTTACATAGCATTTACATTCTATTAGGTATTATAAGTAACCTAGAGATGATTTAAAGTAAACAAGAGGGATGTGTGTAGGTTATTTGCAAATATTACACCATCTTATATCATGAACTTTAGCATCTGTAAATTTTGGTGCCCATGGGGGTCCCAGAACCCATCCATTATGGATACTGAGAAGTTACTATAATTATTACTTAACTGTTACTTAAATAAATATTTTAAATTATATCACAGAAAAAAAATTGGGAAGTGAAGGTAAAAAAGAAGTTCACCCACATAACACGTTGACACTCTTTTACTTTTGAGTTCCTTGCATTTCTTTACATTTACTTTTTTATTTTGTATAATATAATAATAATAATATTTACTATTTTTAATGTATAGTTTCAAGTTTTGACAAATGTAGTCATGTAACCACTGGCACAATCAAGAAACAGAACAGTTCATTTCCCTCCAAAAATCCACTCATGCTGCCCTTTTGTTGTCAAACCCTTCTGCCACTCTTGACCTCTAGCCACTACTGATCTACTCACTATCCCTGTAGTTTTGCTTTTTTCATATAAATGGCTATAGAATGTCATATAAATGGAATCAAACAAGTTGTATCAATTTGCCCACAGATTCTATCACTTAGCATAATGCATTTGAGTTAAGATTCATCCATGTGGTTGCATGGATCAACATGCATACACACACACACAGACACATACACACACATATATGTATATTTATAAATGATTGGCAAAATATACCATATGTTTGGTATTTTTGAGAATGCCACCGAATGGATACACCACAGTTTATGAATCACCAGTTTAAGTATATTTGCATTGCTTCTAGTTTTTGGAGATTATAACTAAAGTTGCTATAAACATGCATGTATAGAGTTTTGTGTAAATAAAAGATTTCATTTTTACAAGTTGGACTGTTGAGTCATGTGGTAAGTATATATTTAATTTTATAAGAACCTGCAAAACTGTTTCTAAAACAACTACCATTTTGCATCCCCACAAGATGTATACGAGAGTTCTAGTTAATCTAATTCTTCACCAGCACTTGATATTGTCAACATTTTTTAAGCTATCCTAATATATTAGTGGTATTTTATAGTAGTTTTAATTTGTATTTTCTTAATAATTGAAAATGTTGAGCATCCTTACTTCTGCTTATTTGCCATCCAAGTATCTTTGGTAAAATACAAATTCAAATCTTCTGACTATTTTTAAATTGTTTGTTTTCCTACAGTTGAGCTTAAGAGTTCTTTTCATATTCTTGATACAAGTCCTTTGTTGGATGATTAATTTGAAAATATTTTCTCTCAGCATGGTCCTGTCTTTTCATTCCTTTAATAGTGTCTTTTTGCAAAGAAAAATTTTAATTTTGGTGAGGTTCTATTTATCATTTTTTATCATATATAAATGATTCTTTGGGTGTGATTTTTATCCATTTAAAAATATGTTTTAAAACATTTGTAACCATAGAATACATGCAATTTTTATTCTCTGTTTTCATTGAGTATTATATCAACGGTACCTTTTAGTGTTATATACTTTCAACAATCATTGAAAAAATAACATAGTTTTCTGTAGAGGATAATACTCCATGGATTTATTCAGCATCAATGTATTAAATGCCTGTTATGTACAGAACATTACAGAAGCAAGCAAAACAGTAATGGTTCTTACCTTCATATTAAGCTCACATTTTATTACAAAATCCTCCAAAATTGCTTTATCTATTTCTTAAAAGTGCAGACTATCTAGTCCTTTCCCTGATTTAATAGATGTGAGGTGCAGCCCTCAAAATTTTTTTACAATTACCTATAAGTCAAATTTCAATAACATTAATTACATAGACATTAGTAATATTATACAATGTTTCATAATTATTTTAACTTTATTGAATATTTAGATCACTTTTGTGTTTTTCTATAATAAATAATTATGTTAACAATGTCCCTTCATTATTGTTAGCAAAGTCCATCAACACAGGTGTCTTAGTTGTGTTTTTATAACAGAGTACCACAGACTGGGTAATTTACAATGAACAGGAATTTATTGCCTCATGATTCTGGAGGCTGGGAATTCCAAGACTTGGGGGGCTGCCATCTGATGAGGACCTTCTTGCTACATCATCCCATGAAAGAAGTGCAAAGAGAGAGCAAGAGGGAATAAGAAGGGACTGAATGCATTATTTTATAAGAAACCCACTTCTGTGATAATGACTTTAATCCACTAATGAAGGTGGTGCCCCGTGACCTGAACACCTCCTGTTAGGCCTCTCCTTTCAATATCACTGAAAGTTAATCATTGGAAATTAAGTTTTTAACACATGAACTCTGGTGGACACATTCAAACCATAGCAACTTGGCAACAATAAAGATGAACAGTATTGAACTGATAGAGAAATCCACATACATATGCACTCTATGAAAACAAATTACATTGTGTTCTGTGCAACAACTGATAACAGCAAGGTCCAGATTGCTTAAAAAGTAGGTATAATCTTATCTTTGCATGAACCCAACTTGAGTCTACATTTATGGAAATAAGATAGCTTTTTTGAGTGTGACTACTTCAGATAAACAGTATGAATTACATTTATGTTGTTTTCCTGAGAATGTCTTAAAGCATTTTCAGAAGGCTGGAACTATCTGGGAAGATGAATGAAACACCCTGAAGGATCACAGAAATTTTGAGCCAAACAAATGATGTTCTTTTCAACCAAAGTTGTAGCAGCTGCACTTTATTTAGTTCTTTGAACTTCTAACTCTATTCTCTCCCTATAGGAGAGCAGAATACCCAGGAAAGTTGACAAAATATACATGATTATTGTGATTGGGGCCAAATATGAGGAGTTGAATGAAACATTAATACAAACCCATCTTCTTCAGTGACCTTAGCACTGCCTCAGGTTTTGCCAAATTAGTACATGTATGACCTGGTTATTGGTCTTTTGAAACTCGAAACTTCTTAACTGACTTAAAAGAATCTATCTACACAGAATAAGAGTAAGAGTTTGAGTAAGAGCTTGTTTCTTACTTCACACAAATATGCATGGTGAATCTTTCTAGAAAGAAATGACCAAATTCCAGAATTTCAGGATCAGTATAATACAATACTCAAATAAATGATGGATGGGTACAGTGTAAGTATCTATTTCTACTAACTATAAACTTTGAAGAGGCATAAAAATAAAATGTGGTAGGTTTATATAAAGAATATGTGTGAAAAAATATATGCTCAATAGCTGGTTTCCATATCTTAATTATTATGTCCAACATACTGCAAATTTTTAAATAATCATTTTCACCAAGTTCAAAGAACTCTCTCAAGTTCAACACTTTGGAAAGCACAAAAATATTTCCAGTCTTTCAATCATGAATTTCAGCCCTTGTACCCAATTTTTTAAGACAAAGACACAGTCAAAAGCTAACAAACTTCTACTAGTTCTTAAAATATGAAAAACACTCAACTCACCTAAGGGAATGGAGAAAGAAACTATTTTTATTATATACTGGGTGTCAGTAATTTTGCATGGTTCTCTCATTTTACCCATACAATACTCTTTCAAGGTTGACGTAATCATTTTAGGAATGAACTAAGTCAGAGTAACCTTGAAGTGAAGCTTTCCTTAACCTTTAACATTTTGTACCTCCAAAGCAAATGTAAAAAGCAATCTCTGTTGATGGGGTAGAATCAGGTGATCTCATGAATATGTTATTAGTTGGTGTCAGAAATAAAACTGTAAGAAGATGCCATACCGTTGCAATACTCCTTGCCTACCATTGAAAGACACTAGAATAATGAACAGAATACTCAGTGTTTGCAGGATGAATGTGTCTAAATGATTGCCCGTAACACTTGAAAAGGAACATGATCTTCTTGATCCGTCTATCCACAAACTAATAATTTCTCTCTCTCTCTCTTAACTTTTATCAAATAAATACTGTGAAACTGGTCTCTTAATCCACATTATTATTAATACTTTTAAAAATCCAAACAGAATTTTGTGATTCCTGATTTACAGATGAGGAAACTAAGCCCTGGAGATGTGAAGATAATTCCAGCAGTCAGTGGCAGAGTCACGATGTTCATCTACCTCAGCTGAAATAAAAATCTATGCCATTGCTTTTGTGCTATTTCTTCTCTAGATGGTTAACAATTGCTCAATCTGCAATCTGTGTTACACTTTCCACCCTATATTTTTACATTTCACCTCAAATAGACATCCCTGAAATTCCACCTGAAACATACTTTTCCTTTCTTATACTTGGCATGTCATGTCTGCTCTCCAGGTTGGTATCTGATGAAATCTCCCAGTTTTACTTTAATTGGCATTGGCAACATGCGGTCCCTGATAAAAAGCATATTTTCTTTCGAGATTACAATCATCAGTTGGGCTCATTTTTCTTGGCCCCTCCATCGAGCTGAACTTCTTTGGAAAAAGAAACAGCAGCTTGTGGGTTACTAAATGCCAGAGAGCTGAACTTAAAAAAAAAGAGAGAGGAAAAAAAATCACAAAGGAAAACAACTTAAAAATACATTTAGAAAGCCTGCGTGCATGCATGCGTGTGTGTATGTGTGTGTGCATGAGAACATAGACTTGCATTAATCACTCAGTTCACATATGATATATATGCAGAACTAGTGTGTGTATGCAAAACTCTTAAAGGGCATGATTTTTATCCATAGCCTATTTATTCCAAACATAGCTAAATGAGGAGGCCAAATATAGAAAGTGATGCTCCAGGGGCCCTACAGCCTATATAGAATTTAAACTCAAATGATTTGCAAAATCACTACTAAGACAGCTTGCTCATACTGTCAGCGTGCCAGCACCAGAAGCTTGTCGTGTATTTTTGTCTTGGCAGATGCACATTCTGTTATAAAGGTCTGTTCATCTGATGCCTTCCTTGTTTTCAGGTAATGCTCAGCGCCTTCTTGCAGAGGGAAGAGTGAGCCTGTGTCGCTTCTCCATGTCCTGGAGGAGACAGTCTGCACTCAGACTCTGACCATGTGCTGGTGTCCTGGCTTACCTCCATTAAGAGTTCATTTCTGCTCCATAAAACTACAGGTCACGAGTGCTCTCATTCCTTTCTTTTTATATTATTCAATTTTATTTCTGACATTTGCCAGGGCACAGGGAAATAAACCAGTGTTAGTTAATATCAACAATGACTCCGTTTCTTTAAAAATCACCTGAGGTTTGAGGAGGTTGTCTTTTTTTTCTTTTAGATTAAAACATGGTTTCCCAAAACTGATTAGCATAGTTTTTAAGCCACTCTGAAGTGTTTGTTAGGCTTCGCATGCTGGTCTCCATATGCCTCTTTTCAATTACATGTGCCGCCACAAGTATGGCTAAACGAAACGCTTCTTTAAAAACAGAAAGCAAACTGTTAGGCTTTGTGCAGTGTAACTAGTTAGCGTGCGACATCTCAAACTGCCCTGATTTCATCACCAAACTGCTAAATGTTCTGTTTGCAGAAATAGCCATTAAAATGTATCTTAAAATTAGATGCTCTGTCAGAATTAAAGGGGAGACAGGGGAACTGGAAGGGATTAAAATAACAGGAAATGGAGTTTAGACCTTGGTTGTCTTGGAGGCTATCTGTGGAAAACTTTTCATTTTTTGGTGGTAGCAAAAGTAATAATAATAATTCTGTTTATTGAACACTTCTTATGTGTCTGGATGATTGAAAAATCTTCAAGTTATGTCAATTAATTACCAATTATTAATCATTACAGCCACTCTATAAGGTAAGTACTATAATTATACATATTAGGAGACTGCAGCAGTGAGATTTAGTAATTTTCCTGAGGGCATGCAGGAAAGTGGTAGAGCTGAGACAAGACCAGGTACTATAGCTACAGGGTTTACATCTTATTTTGAGGTTAGTAGGAGGAACATGTGCTGGGATTGTATTAGGAAGCTCCTTGTTTATCCACACTTGTGTTGCTGTACACTGGGTTATATTACTAGATTATAAATGCTCTTGTATCACCCACTAAGATGCCTGCCATGTATCCGATTCTCAGAAGATGTTTGTGGAATGAATGAATAGATGAATGAATGATATCTTCCTTTTAGGAAAATGCTATAAGTAAACCAATTTGAGTGCAAAATGAGACATTATTTGGACAAAACAAACTAACGAACAAAAATCAACTTGTGGAAAAATCTACTCAGCTTCTCATTTACTCTTTTACTACAGTGAGAGGCCTTGTACCACATGGTGGGAAAACACACGTAATAATTCGACAGCCAACTGAAGCTCTAGTACTAAATCCAGGCTAGCCACAGACTCACCACTTGATTTTATTTGGTCACTTCAATTTGGGCTTCAGTATCCTTGTTTGCTTAATAAGGGCATTTATTTGGAAAGCAACCTCTCTTAATTCTGATGTCCTACGGTATTTTCAAACAACTGAAATTAGAACTCACTTTTTATAAAAAGTTTTTCCTGAGTGTCCATGGAGTGGATCTAATTTGTGTATTTATGACCATAGAAAGTGCTTCTTTCATCAATGCTAAAAAGGTACATGGTCTCTAAGACAGAAGGAAAGATAGCTTATTTTTTTAAAGTGAGAGAAGTTACTTAGAGAATAGTGAAAATTGAGTTTAGTAATGTTTAGTACATACTAGAAAAGCCTCAAAAACAGGTTTGCAAAAGTTATTAATTCCCACAACACAGTGGAATGCTTTGGAATTATCATCAAATTTATTTATTTTTCTTTTATACAATGGTTGTTTCTGAAAATTTGTATATTTAAATAATAATAAAATTAATGATATTTTAAAAATATTAGGGACATTGATTACTTTAATGTAAATAAATACTATTGAGAAGAATCTTTGGATAAATGCATTCTCAAACTTTAAGGTTCTGTTTAAGTGAATTTCTACTTAGCAAATAAAGTTGGGATCTGGAATAACACAAAATCTCCAGGTCCCATATCTATGGTAAACATGAGGAGCAGCTTGAATATGGTTTTATTTACTTCTAGAAAATAGATTTTGAGTTACAGGTATACCTGGTCACAGGAAATCCAGACACATGCAAAACCAGATTTATACATATGATAAATTATTTTAAGGGTTCTCTGAACATCAATGCCATCATCCATCAACATGAAGCTGCTTCTGCAAATGTGCACACATTTCCTGAAAGGATTTATAATCCAGCCAATACGGTACATTTTGAATGTGTTACAGAAAGGACAGATTTACAGGAGACAATCTGCCTTCATGATGATTGCATATTGTGGCATTTCTAGTCCATATGGATCAGTAAGACTTGGATAGCAGGCATTTGACCTTCAAAATCATGCAAATGTGAAACCAGACTTCTTCTCTTACAGCTGGGAACGTCAGTGGGACTTCTTCAGCTTATTTTGAAGGCAGTGATTAAAGCACAATTTGACTTCTAAAAATTATTGAGATCTTATTTTAATGCTTCTTTCCCCCTATGGAGAATGATTTCGTCTTTTGCTTCCCTCATCCCCATTCCCTCTGGCTAACCTTCACTCATTAGCACCCAGAACTCAAATACTGATCATTTAAGAGAGAACTTGCCAACTCAGAGCCATGGGCTAACTATAAACAAGACTTTAAACCTTTTTGCTAATGCCATAGTTAATCTCAAGTAATAACTTCTGAAAACCTTTGAAAAGGTCTGAGAATGGCTTTCTGTCAGGGGCCTAAGGAAACTGTACATTTTCTCACCGTGAAACCTTGATCATGCCAGATATAATCAGACTGTTTATCTGGCAATGTTAATTTTCTGAGTTTACAGTGTAACAATTCGCCAAGATTATTGGAACAGAATCAGAAGAAGTTATATTTGTTAATCGGCCAATTTTCTTTTTTTGCATTTAAAAATTCAGTGCAAAATGGTATCACATTTTCTAGAGTACTGACGAGACTATGCCTGAATAAATGCATTTGCCAAAGCGAAAGTAATATTAAAAAAAACCCTCGAGATTGAGAGAAACAATTTCAACAGTTTCCCTCTTTGTGATTTAAGGCTTTGAGAACCCTGTAGGGAGAGGCAGACTGGAAGAAACCATAGGCATCCTTGTGACCACATTCTGCCAAGCTAAAGACAACAAGCAAAACCCAATTATAAAGAGGAAAAAAAAGAGATCTGGGCAAAATCTCTGCTTATGAAGAGGCAAACTGGAATTTTTCCCTTCTATTATAGCATCTACAACCAGCTCAGTTACTCCAAAATCTTCTATAAAACAATGGCTTATAAGGTTCTGGTCTAGACAGGCTTTGGGCTTTTTGCTATAACCTTTAATGAATTTATTTGTTTGCTATTTTGTTCATTTCTCCTTCAAAATTGTGTTTCTAGCAACTTACTTTAACTTATGAACCCTTCATTGATAAAGAATAAATCTCATATCGCCTGGCTCTTGTCTCATAACTCAATTTAACCATTTCTCAAATGTAAATGTCTTTCTGTCCAGCTTTAATCAGCTATAAATTTTGGCAGATGCAGGGTTGAGTGTTTCCAAGTGCTTACGATTAGGGCAGTATTTTCCAGTTTCCTTTCTGGACAATGTGAGTATCCAGTGTACTAAGACTCCAAGCACCTAAAAACAGTTAGTGTTTATTAAAAACTTATTATGTGCCATATGACCTTTCCAGGTATTTCTGCTAATTTAATCCTCACAACACCTTTATGAAGTAGGTGCTCTGATTGTCCTCATTTTATAGATAAAGGAGACGCATCCTAACAAAGTTAAGAAACTGCTAATAGTCCATTTTTGGTCATAGTTGGCCCTCATGAAAGAGTTTGAAGCCAAACTGTTCTACCCAACAGCCAACATTCTTTACCATTTTTTTTTAGAAAGAGAAAAGGGGCAATGTGCTGATAAATATTAATTCTAGTTATTTACAGAATTGTTTGAGTGCTATCTTCAATCAAAGGGTTTAGTAGAAAATGGAAAAATCCCCATTAATTATTAATTCACCCTAATAGATAGGTAAAATGGTAGCTGAGCACCTTTATTTTTCAACTACAGATACAAGGAACCAGGAATGTGATAAACAGAAATGACCAGTTGTAGTCAAGTCATATTCTCTCAAGACATCTCAGTTTCTCCTTGAATAACGTGAACAGTTGAAATGGATAAGTTCTAAAGTTCCTCCCACCACTGACATTCTATGACCTTATGATGAATCTTTAGTGGTAGAGATCACAATCATGTTTTAGAATTTGTTTCTATTTATAAAATTTGGTGTTCAGATTCATAACTCAGAAAAAGAAGGGTATAGATTTCTCATTATGTGTTTCTTTCTAGAAAAAGGAGCCAAATCTGTATGTTTCACTTCTAGCATATGAAGACCACTACATAATTCAGTGTAAAAACCAAGAGGAGTATAATGACTACTCCTGAAGAACCACAGTGGCATTTTTTAAAAAAGCCATATAGAAGAGAAATAGGAAATTTATTCTTATAAGATTTTTCCCCTACCTTTAATATACTCCTACAATTTGTACACTCTATCAACCTAAAATGGCCTAGACTATAACACATATATATTTTACATCCCTCAGGGAATATCTAGGACATTATCTCTAAATACTTTTTGAGTTTTGAAAATTTCCTTAAAAAATACACATGTGCCAGGCACGGTGGCTCACGCCTATGATCTCAGCACTTTTAGGAGGCTGAGGCAGGTGTATCACCTGAGGTCAGGGGTTCGAGACCAGCCTGACCAACATGTTAAAACCCCATCTCTACTAAAAATACAAAAAGAAAAAAAAATTAGCCAGGTGTGGTGGTGCACACCTGTAGTCCCAGCTACTTGGGAGGCTGAGGCAGGAGAATCACTCGAAACCAGCAGGCAGAGGTTGCAGTGAGTCCAGATTGCACCACTGCACTTCAGCCTGGGTCACAGAGTGAGACTCTGTCTTAAAAAAAATACACATGAATACACACATGAATACACACACACAACATGTAACATACAATTTCTCTATGTTCCAGAACACTGTTTGAAGTCCTATCACATTATCTGTTGTTTGTAGACCTTTTGGGGCCCTCAGAAGAGTTATAAAGGAGTTTAGCACAGAGCTAGTCATGAATAGGGCACGGGATTTTCTTCTTAGAGATATATCATCAGGCTTGGGGGTGGGAGGTGTGTACATATAGAAGGTAGCCATCATATTCCCATAGAGGTCTCTAAACAGAACAAAAGAGCGTCTGTTAATAATGAAAACAGTCAGATGGCTCTGAGAGGCGAGGATCCAGGAAGGAGAACAACTGCTCACTAATGGGGAAATATTTGTTCTGGTAAACTTTTGTTACCCTTCACCCTTACATCAAATGTCACTGAATACCTCTTCTCCTCAAATGTTCTGGTCTAACTTCTACTGAAAAATAAATAAAGTCTTACAAAAGTATTTTAGATAGGAAGAGACCACAGCATAAAAAGACAAATTTTTATTTATGTTAATAAATCTAAGCAGATTTTTTTTTAATGCAGAATTTTGAATTAGGTAGAATTCTTTAATGGGCAAGATAATTAGCCGATTCACTGTTCATTTGCACTCAGATTTATTTCCTTCCTTCCCCTGCTGTGCATTTCAGGAAACTATATTTTCCAGGGCCCTCTTGTTCTCTTGTGAAGCAAGGCCCTGATACAAGATTACAGAATGAGAAAGGGAAGTCAAAGCATACCCCGAAACTCATCTCCTGTGGCGCTTCCAGAATGGCTAGCCTCATCCATGGTTCCAGCTTTGCCTGGACAGCACCCTTTGTGGTTCTGGCTCTGGCTTGATGGCCCTGGCTTCTGGGTTCTGGAAATACCACTTCCTTTCCTTATTCCTCCAGTTCTGGGATGGTACTTACTGCTGCTACTCTGGTTTGCCTCACCATGCCTTGTTTGGCTTTCAGCTCTTTCATAACCAGTGTAATCCTGAATTAAATTCTTTTATTTCAAAGATCTACAATGGTTTCCATTTTTCTGGTTGGACTCTGATTGTTACTGGAAAACTAGCTATATAGATGTGCTATTTCCATTGCAGGAGATTCAGGAAGTCAGGACAGGTATTCTGGAAAGCAAATAGATTTGAAATATTAGGTGGAAATAGTGGTATAAAATTTCTGATGAAAGATATAAATGTGACTTTTTTTAGGGCAATCTGGAGAGTTTCCATGATTCACTTTCATCAAAACATGTAAAATACCGGATTTATTTTATCGTTGTTCTCCCTTTCAAACTATTTTCATGCTGCATTTCGCACTATGGAACCTACAGGTCTTTCTATGCCAAGTTATAGAATCCCAGAATAATGACAACAACATGAATTGTCTGGGGTTGAGTAAAATTTTTTATAATTGCTTTGAAATGAATGGACCATGACATGAATGCAGGTATCACTTTTAAATTCATAGTTTCAGCCAAAGAAAATATGTAGATAAATAGATCTGCAAGTTTTCTACATTTTCCTCTGTGAGGTTCAGTGGGTAAGCAACGGCCTGGAACTCAAAAGCCTTTGAAATATCCTTTATTCTGCCCCTCATGTTCAATGACCTTGAGTAAGTCACCTAAATCGGAGGCAACTCTGGCCCTGGAGAGAATGATCTAGTGTCTGGGACCAGCAATCCACTTTGCAGAAAAAGCAGGCTACAGAGATGTTCAGTGCTAGGAAAAACTCAACAGACAAAAATAACATTTGGATGTGCCCAAGTGCATGAAGCCCTCCCAAGTGTTTTCTCTATTATTCTAATCAGTCATGTTCGGTTATCTTCGTTTATGCTGATGTATGGGAATTTATATTTCTAACACCCTTTCCCACTAGCCCTGGAGAACCCCTAGAGAGATATTTATTTTGCAATTTCGAAACAATTGCTTAGTTTTCATTTGAATTAATTTCCCATTAGTTCCCTTTGCAATAAATGTCAGCTGGTTAAAGCAAAAAAGTCTGAGACTTAGGTTAAAAGTATTTGCAAACATGCAATTAGGAATTGACTCAGTTATCTACTTCTGCGTTTGATTAAAGCATCAACTGCCGTTTTCAGTATCACATGCCGATTTCTTAACAAAAGGTAACTTTTCTTGGTGAGGGGCACCTAGCACTAGGCCTGACCTTGTTCTTAAGAGAGCTAAACATACTACTCAATCTGGAAATCTCATAATCTGATCTCAGGATCATCTGGGTCAAGTTGCCTTTAGAACAAGATAGTAAAATACTCAGCATATGTATTTACTCCCGCTGTTTCTGTGTCCCTGACAGTCACTGACAATTTCTAGTGGGGCTTTCTCCCACTGAACTCAGATACAGCCTCAAAATGCTTCTTAACCCAGTGTTCCAGGGAGCTTTTACCGATTGATTGGAACTATCATAACTGACATAATTTTTCTTCAGACTGACTTGTAAATACATCGTGAAATGCGAATCCTTTAACAAAGGGTTGACATCAGGTATTTACCTTAATATTAGGTTTTTAGGCAATTCTGGCAAACAGTGTCTTTCAGAAAGCGTCATTATAGAATTTTTAACTTCAAAGATCTGAAAGAGAATACTAGAAAATTTATTAGGAGTAATCATACTCAAAACTCACTGGTATAAATTTTCTGTAGGAACAGGAAAAAAATGAAAGTTGAAGGTAACTAACAACTGAAGGGTTATTTTTATCTGAGACTGATAGAATTCTGAGACGTAGAAGGGATGTCCCTTTGGTGTAAAATCTAAATTGGAGCTGGGGCAAGTACAGTTGGAGAGTATGTAGTGATGGTGAGGAGAAGAGACAGGATGTTTTGGCTTGACATAAATAAAGTAGATACTATCTCACTTGACATTTATTTTTTAGTTTTAGAGGAGTCTTTTCATGGGAAAAAATGCTTAAATTTAAAAATACAGTATATCTCTTTGAGAACATTTTAGCAATAATCATTTTGTAGAATTCAGTCAACAAATATTTATTGAGTGCTTAGTGCATGTAAGATATTATGTTTGGTACTTTCATTTCTTATCTGTAAAATGAGAACAGCAATGCTTGTCCTATCTCACAAGATCGTTAGGAAGATTAAATAAATAAAAATGTTACTTAAGTATCAAATGATATTTTTACTATAGTCATAATGATAATTACTCTTACATAACGAGAAAAATCTGAAGTAAGTATTAATCTTTAAAATGAAAATACAAAAAGTGTGGAAAATCATCAACAGATTGCATGAGGTTACCAAGAACAGTCTGGAATTTTAGGACCATCATGTATATTTTGAGACATAGCATTATAGAGATACTCAGTAAATGTTAAACAATTGAAGAAATGAACAGATGATTGAATTTTAAAATGGGATTTTTGCCTTTACTTTGCCTGTAATTGTGTCTCTGTGGTCGCTTTTTTCACACTACTTTATCTATAAGCTTGCTGTATTTTCCAGGACTCCATAAACTAAAGTGTCATAGAAGCAGGAAGACTCTCTCCTCTGCTGACTCCTCTCCTTCTACCAAACCACATGCATTTTGTGAAGTCTCATCCTCCAGCTTCTGTTCATGGCATGATCACCTTCATGGGTGCCCTCATTTATTCCCACAGCTTCAGTTCTCATTTCTATTTGAGAGACACTTAAGCTAGATTTCTAGCCCTAATGCTGATCTTCCCACCCTATTCACAATGCCCTGCTGGATATTGTGCTGAATTTCTCTTGTTTTTGTTTCTCACTATGTTTCTTATCTCTCTCTCTCTCTCTCTCTCTCTCTACTTTTCTTCCTCTCTTATTAATTATAAAGTTAATAATCAAAGCTAAGAATCTTTCAGTTATCCTCATTTTGTTCTTCTTTTTCTTTTCCCCAACAATCCTCCTCTTAAACTTAATAGCCAGTTCCTTACCACATGGCATTCTGTATCTCCATTCCTGCAAACACATATACTCCATTTCCTATGCCCACTGCCTCTCCTTTAGGTCTGCTAATTACCTCTTCAGACTTGTGTCATACTCTTATCACTTTCCCCAACATGCATTTTCAATGGTTCATCATACTGCCTTGGGCCAGGATTAGCTGTCTGAGACATTATCTGCTCAAGTAACCTGTCTTGTCACCACGCGCTGCTCCATGTTCATCTTAGCCCTGCTAAAACTTTTATAGCTCTTAGTCATCTATAGAATAAAGTCCAAGATCCTGAATATATTTTCGAAGACCTTCCCAGTCTGATTCTTGCCTGTCTTTTAGCTCCATCTCTTCATTCCCTTTCAGTTGCTCTATGTTCTGATAATGCAGAACTATTTATTACTCCCAGGACATACCATGTACCTCTGTGAATTTGTTCATAGTATTTCGCCCACCTGGAATGACTTCCCTTTTCCTCATATCAAAATCATATATACCCTTCAAGTTTCAGGTACAAATCTTTCCTTGGTTTTACTTTTAGGTATTAAAAATGTCTGTTGGTGAATTTCTCATTTTTGGAGTTCTCATTTACCTTAGCTTATTCTTCAGTTGAAGTATCTATATCAGGGTTTGTATCATATGGAATTATTTATATGCCACCCACGACCTCCTACTGGACTGTAAGTAGCTCTTGAATAGTAGGGTTCACATGTTATTGATCTGTGATCTCTTGTACCTACTCTTAAATTCCTGGCACATATATAATAATTGCTGATTAAATTTTTGTTGAATTAAACTGAAGTTTTGTAGAAAAGTACTTTGAAATGTTGTTAACATTTAAAATAACTAATATGTGAGGTAAGTAAGCCTTGATTCATTTGCTGTCAGGTCCAAAGAAATTAATTCATGGAGGAAATAAGCTATCAGGCCAGAGTATAAAGGAGACATATCAAACTCTTCCATTCATTTCTATTTCATGTAGGTCTATACATTTATGTGAAAACAATGTATTAACTCTACACCTGTTCTGATGCTTTCAGTCTAATCAATACAGATCAAGTGAAAGCAGTATAATTAACTAACTCTGAGCAATAGGTAGTAGAAGGAATGATATTATTAAATAGCAATAATGACTATTCTTAATGCCAAGCAAGATTTTTTTGAAGATTAATTGTTTGGGATAAACATCTTATGAAACAAATTCTGTTTTTTTAGGTAATGAAACTATTTATAGTAATGCCTAAACAATATTTTATATCTAAGTTGGAGAGAAAAATATAATTTTCTCAAAATTGTTAAGAAAATAAAATGTAAAGAACAGCAAATGAACTATACTTTTTGGGTTCAACAGGCCTCACAATATCAAGTGTTTGCCAAATTACTGAGAGTAATTTATGAAGAATACTCGTAAGTATACTCTAACTACTTGAAATACTGTTCACTGAAATTTTTAAAATAGAAATTTTTTTATCTAATCCAAATATATATTTATGTATGCATCTATCTGGATCCAATATTAGACATAAAAATATGAACTAGCTCAATTGTTTAAAAATGACCAAAATAACAAAAGAAAGCAACCACTCAAATGAATAATGAAATACATTTGCTCTATAAATTCATCACAGCTTACTTAATCAAAATTGAGAATTGCAATATAGGAAACCATTAAAAACTGTTTATAACATTTTATATGATGGTAATTTATAAATGTTCTGTAACTCAATGGAATCTGGAGATACTTTTTATTTACTTAAAAAATATTTCCTGGTACAATACAAGTATCAGAAACCAATTTTCTTGAAGAGCAATTCAAATAAACGAAATGGCTGTTATTAGTATAAAAGAGCTAAGGAAATAACTTTGCTTATTGGGACCTTAAGGTAAGATAAGGTTATTCAAAATTATATCATTTTTAGGAAAAATCTATTCTGGGAGGGTAACACTTAGTGGGACATGTTCCCTGTCCCTCCGGCTGTAGCTTTCTAAGTATTCTAATAACTCAAGTAAACTGCCGGGACAAACAACACAGCTATGACTGTGTCTGGAGATACTGCATCTGCCTTCCTTAATCAACTTCCTTTCCTGAATATGAATTGCAATAATGAGTCAATTAACGTCCTCAAATGCCAATGAGATGCAAAAGAGATTGGTAGTGGTGGTGGTGGCAGTGCGTTTCGGGAGCTCTTCCAATGTCTGGATTTTAACGAGAATCACACACTGAGCTCACAACTGATTATTTATCTCACGCAAACGTGACTGGCTGGCACTTTCCCCTGCAGCCTTCCCCCCGGCTCCCCCAAGAAAGTAAGGAAGACAAATCTAACCTTGTTATTGAGAAAACCTCTTTGATTTGGAGCCATTAATCTTAAGGCTTAATTTTTAACCTCTTTACTCAGATGAAAAGGCCTACTTTTGATAATTTTCCTTATCAATATTCTGCAATGATATTCTACACATGTTCTGAAATTATGACCTTTTTGGTATATGCTCACAAGTAAAAGCAATTGATTTTCAATCAGCCTCTAGCTGCTCTACCTTTAAGGTACATTTAAATAGTTAACTGTAATTTATTATTTTCTATCTACCAGATAATCTGAGTATCTTACTGTAAATCAAACACTTTTTTTGAGTTAAGTATTATTATTCCCAGTTTACAGATAATAAAACTGAGGCTCAGAGAGAAGTTTATACAACTCAATAGCAACAGCAAACTTTGAAGTCAGGCCCATTAGTCTTCTTACCCAGCCTCTTTGTACCACATTACAAGGCTCACAGCAATGGGGGATTAGATGTTCTGCCTATTTTCATGTAATGTAAAGGAATACTTACGAAAATTTCAAATTTCAGTCAGCAATTTTCTTTTAATTTTATTAAAAATCCCCCAGGTTTAATGAATATTAAATATTCCAGTGCAATTTACTTCTCAGATTTTTTAGTTTCCTCATTTTAAAAGCCTGGACAGCTGGCTGACCACTTGGCAAACATAAGACCCCCAAAGTAAAATGATAACTCTGGCCGCATGGCCACTTTTCCCTGACAGATTGGAACTCCTCACTGGCCATATTTTAATGTAAAAATTGAACTACTGAAATTCAGTCATATGCTTTCTTCCCAGGGAGTCGAGAAGTGTCTTTCTGAGGAGCACGTAGGCATCCATAATAAAATCTGCCATGCCATAGTGACCAATTTAAAGTGTATTCTTTTGAAAATTCATCTTTTCTCATTCTAGCACTAAAAACAGAGTGGACAGAAAGACATAATTTAGTGAATTTTCATGAAAGTCAAGTTATTCTCAAGTTAAACAGGGTTAAAAAAAGAAAAGTTATGTTAAGATTGTTACACAAAGTAAACGTTGTTTTCACTAATGATTGATGCCATTTTAGCAATTTCTTGTGTGGACTGGTTACTTGAGACATTTTCAGTTCCTGCTTAATAATTATATTCAAGATTTTTTTTAATCTTACATTTTGGAATGAGAATCCTTTTATCTTAATAACCCCCCACCCCCTCTTTTTTTTTTTTAATAAATGCTGATGCTTTGCTGCTTAGCAGCAGTTTTAGAATGATTCTCCTATTACTATGAATCAACAAAATAAAACAAAAAATAGGCATTTGAAATGCAATTAAATAATATGTGTGTCATTATCTATGCTGCTTTTACATATTCAATATGAAAAGGGTAAAGTATGATGACCTTTCAGTCATTAAGCGTGTTCTCTACCAGATAAGGGCTGACCCAACAATAAGTTGTGGTCTAGCCACTTTTACTTAGCAAACATAGAATGATGCATTAATAAATGTGTAGTAATAGTTAACTCCTGTGCAATGTAACAGCTTAGAGGTGATGCCATTTTATTTTTAATATTGGAATCATCATGTTGGATTCTCAAAAACAAAATACCTAGTGAGATTTTAGTTTAAATGGTTTAAGCTATAATTTTGTGGACAGAGAACTGCTTGCCATACTTACTTTAACTTTAGAAATCCCTGCAGAATAATTCCTAAACAAGATTACATACGTGTAGCTCTTAGGGAAAAGAAAATGCCTTTGGAATGCGGTATAAAACAATACAACTTAACTATTACTGAGTCTTGCAAAATGTTACACACACAAAAGTAAATCTACAAAGGGATTCCACAGCAAGTCATCTCTGCAAGCAAAAATTACACTTTCACTTGCTTTAGTTCCCTTCAAGATTGTATTTTAAAATACAGATCACAAGAAAAGTGAACTGAAAAAATATCTTCTTGTATTTCAGTAATGTGGCCTGGAGGTGGTAGCTAAATAAGCTCTTTACACACACTATTGAATAATCTATATACTTGAATAATTAAAAGCAACAATCCCAGTTTACTCATAAAAAGTTCTTCCAGGGTCCCCTTCAGAGTAGTTACAGATGTTCCTCTGCTTCCAATCTAAATGAGCTTCAATAAAATGTATTTTACTACCCTCTTTGGTACATTTAGATTCCTAATGAATGTCAAAAAATTCTCCTTTCCTTCAACCCCATTTAAACAAATTGGAAGCTAAGATCTTTACCTTTTCCAGAAATTATCTAATAGTTTTATCTAAGAAGAACTTCTTATGAAAATTTTGATGGCTAAGTTAGATCCCCATAGTCCTTAAAACTTGGCTTAAAAAAAATAAACCTTTAAGCAAGGTTCTTATTTTATAAGCCCACATACAAATTGGAACTTAGGGAATCTAATGGGTGGGATCAAGTTGAATGCTATAATGGATGAAATGCTTTGTGGTTTTTTAAGCTAACACCTGTGGGAGACCTCTTCCTTATCAAAATCTGAATTTTTGATGTCTGATTTTTTTGGGGAGTTTCTTGAGAATGCCCACTAAACTAAGAAGGAGGTTTATGCAATCTCACTGAAATAATAACCAGTGGTTAATCTTGAACCAAGTTGCTGGAGTTAACTACCATCACCATCTCTACATGCTCAGAAAAGTTCAATATGGGACCTTTTGATAATATATTCAGTAGAATCTCACATTCTGCAAACTGGCTTTTTCCCAAATTCTGCCATCTGATCTGTTTTCTGCTGGTGCCTTTCATTCTTTCTTAAGGCAGGTGGTCAGAATTGAACAGATAAGTAGTCACCTCATGGTCAAAAAGAAGCTTTTATTGTAATAACGTGGCCCCATGACTGCTAAGTATTTTTCATTGTTCTGGAGCACAATCAGTAGCATTTTTTTGTCACACCATGCTAATTTGGAAATCAAGACAGTTATTTATTTATTATTAAAATGTATGCACATAGATTCCTATAATAAGAAAATCATCAGAGAAAAACAAATACTCAATAGACAATATTGCATAGTTCCATTCTTTCTGGAATCTTTATTTCCTCTGTAAGAAAAGGCCCCAACCTGCACATTGTGCACATGCACCCTATAACTTAAAGTATAATAATAAAAAAAAACATAAAAACCAGAAAAAAAGAAATAACATGAAAACATACCATTTTTTTCCCATAAATATGTTCAATCCATTTACAATTTCTTGCCTGTTTCTTAACTCATCATTCATTTCTATCATCTAAATTACAAAACATAATGAAAATACCTATAAGAAAGTTCTTAAATATCAAATAAGTTCAAAATTAAAGATCATTTTAAATTATCAGTCAAAAAAAAAAAAAAAGAAAGAAAGAAAAGGTCCCAATCCTTTTTTTTTTTTTTTTTTTTTTTTGAGACGGAATCTCACTCTGTTACCCAGGCTAGAGTGCAGGGGCATGATCTCGGCTCACTGCCACCTCTGCCTCCCAGGTTCAAGGGATTCTCC
Source organism: Homo sapiens (assembly GCF_000001405.40). Lineage (NCBI taxonomy): Eukaryota > Metazoa > Chordata > Mammalia > Primates > Hominidae > Homo > Homo sapiens. The sequence continues at coordinate 79,637,956 of NC_000004.12, forward strand.
TGCCTCAACCTCCTAAGTAGCTGAGATTGTAGGTGCACCTGCCGCCACACCTGGGTAATTTTTGTATTTTTAGTAGGGATGGGGTTTCACCATGTTGGTCAGGTTGGTCTCAAACTTCTGACCTCAAGTTATCTGCCTGCCTCAGCCTCCCAAAGTGCTGGGATTACAGGCGTGAGCCACAGCGCCCGGCTATATAACATTTTTCAAAGGATTCTGGTACTTGAATTATCAAACACTGAGGCAATTGAAGCAAAAAATATTATCATTTGTGTGAGTTTGTCATTTATGAAACTTTCATGATTTATAAAAACAAAAACCTCTCTCATGAATTAGGAAAATGACATAGTCATGGATAGTCAATTGAAAGAATATTTCACTCAGTTTCTTACAAGTCATAAGAAGCGTTGGTCATTGACTGAAATAAGAAGTGAAGAGTTGAAATACATGTCTAAGCTTGTATGTATAGATTATGAACTACCTCAAATATCAATTTACGTGGACTCTTTGAAAATTTCTCAATACAAATTTTCTCTTAATGGCATTATAATTATTCTAATTGAGACATAAATTTTTGTAAACAAAAGATATAGCCATTGGAGATTATTGTCTAACATTGTAAAAAGAATATTTAAATTACAACGTTGTAACAAGAAAACAGCCATAATTGCTTGCCACATAATGACTCTGGCCAGCCTTTTGTCATTGATTCAGACTCCTCATTACACAACTGTGAGGAAGATAAGCTTGATAAGAGCAAAGATTTCCTAAAATGTCCCCAGTTGTAGAACTAACACAATTCATCATTTTGTTTCATAAGAAGACCAATAGAAAATTACATATTTTAAAACTGAGTGTCCAAAAAAGCATTTTTTTTTTTTTTTAGTTCTCATGTCCTATATTCTGTTCCAATCACTTTTGTCTTCTTGCTGCATTTGGACACAGATGAGCACACTACTGTCTCAGGGCCTTGCACCTGCTGCTCCCTCTGCCTGCCATACTCCTCCTGACATCACTATGCTTTACTCCATCCCCCTTCTTTCAAGTTTCTGTTTAAATATCTCTTCATCAGAGAGACCTTCCCTGACCACACATTGCAAATTATCAACTACTTCTTTTACAAAATCCAGCACTCTCTCCCGCTTTACCCTGCTTTACTTTTCCTCCTACCCCTTTGCACCATTTTTTATGTTATGCATTTACTGATTTACTGATTTTCTGGTTCTGCAATTAAAATTAAAGTTCCACAAAAGCAGAAACTTGGCCTGTTTTGTTAGTGTATTCCAACACCTAAAACTATGCTTGGCTTATGATTGTTGCTCGAATAAAGATTTGTTAAATGAATGATTAAAGTCAACATCAGCTACTTAGAGAAGCTATTATGATTCTTCCATACAAATCTTACAGCAGAGGAACTACTACATATTCTCAATTTTTAAAAGCGATATATGTATTTGAATATTTCAAGTTTTAATTTCAGTGGCTTACTTTGAGGATTTTTTTTTTAAGGTGAGTTGCACTTTGTATGGCTGAATAGAGATATGTGTTCTTCCGACATATAACCCCTTCACCCTCATAAGATTATTTGTATGCCCCTGGATTGTTGGGAGGATAACCCCATTAACAATGTGTCACTTGTTGTTTCTGGGTAATCAGATTCCCATTATCAGCAAATTAAAATATTCCATATTTTTTCATTTTCCACTTTCTAGATATAGGTCCTAGACTTACTGAAAGCTACAAAGAACAGCCATAATGACAGGCTTGCCATAATTTCCAGAGTTGTCTTATACGTGTCATATGCCTCTTTAATCTATTTGGGGGAAATAGGCAGTTCCTGAAGGTTTTTAATTTTTAGGGATTTGGAGAGAGGGGTCGTGTTTAGAGTGACAATTTTGGAATAATCCGTATTAGTATTCTGCGAATGGTGTGATTGTGGCATATATATCTTCCTACTGCTGCTTCCTCTTCCTCTGGTTTTGCTTCACATTCACACAATTTCAAGGGAGAATACTTGAGATTATTGCCTCTAGTTTTCAATAATTCAAACTGTACTCTCATCACCCATAGTGAATTCCTTGGTCACCTAATTAGTATAAGATTATATGTATCTATTATAGAACTTAATATATCATAGTTTAGATTTGTGTTTAGCAACTGCAACTGTGATTAGCAGCTGTGTAACTTTAAGTTTCATCATTTCCTTGTAAAATGGACATAATAGTTACCTCACAATTGTGAGAATTTAATAAGATAATTTTTTTAAATTCAACATATATGTAAATTTCACACAAGTAGTTTTTGGACACCTGTTAATATTTTTTACTTATCTTTAAAGAAGAATTATTTAGAGAAACTTCAAAAATTCACCCTCTTTTTGTAATAATGGCAATATTAATAGTCGTTACATGCCTTTTTTGTTAATTACAATATTAGTGAATATTAATTATTTATTTTGTGCAAGATACTATGCTAAGTACAACATATACTTTATCTCCCTTAAGCATCACAACAGTAGGATGTAGGTACTATTTTATTCTCCTCATCTTAAACCTGAGAAAACTGAAATTTATAAGAGTCAAATAATTTATCCAGAAGTCACACAGGTCCTAAATGACAGAGGAATCTGAGTCCAGGTTTATTATATCCCATCCTTTTAACCACTATGCCATATTCCTATTTTATGAGTGTCTTTGACAGTAAAGTATTTGAATGCACAAAGATATATAAGGATTCTATATACATATACTATATCTCTCTATATATTTAGCATATACAGATATTACATACATTCATATGTATTCAGTTCCACTCTATTAAGAATATTTGTCAATTACTATATGCCACAGTCTTTGTTAAATACTGTCATATATGCAACCATAAATCTAATATAATCCTTGACTTCAAGGAGCAGTCTGTGTGTGTGTGAGAGAGAGAGAGAATATATTCTTTAGTGTCCATAAATGTCAGACTGAATAGTTGAACTGAGATTTTAAAATATTTCAGCAAATACATTAATCATACAAAATTAGTTAATGGGAAATTATTCCTAGAGGTTAAACTGTAGGGCAGCAAAAATGATATTCTTTATGATACAGAGAAAAAGTGTGTATGTAAGCACATAATATAGAAAACTGGGAGGAAATATTAAGGGCAAAATAATATTTGTGACTACAATAATCTCCATATACAGGCATATCTCATTTTATTGTGCTTCACTTTATTATGTTTTGCAGTTACTGAATTTTTGGAAAACCCTCCATTGAGCAAGTTTTTTTTGTTTGTTTATTTGTTTGTTTGTTTCCAACAGCATGTGCTCACTTAGTGTCACAATGTCACATTTTGGTAATTCTCACTACATTTCAAACATTTCATTACAATTTTGTCTGTTATGATGACCTGTGAAGAGTGATCTTTGATGTCACTATTGCAATTGTTTTGGGCTCCATGAACTGCATCCATATATGATAGCAAAATTAATCAACAAAAATATGTGTTCTGACTGCTCCACCAACCAGCCCTTCCCCCATCTCTTTTCCTCTCATTGGGTCTTCATATTCCCTGAGACACAACAATATTGAATTTAGGCCAGTTAACAACTCTACAATGGTCTCCAAGTGTTCAAGTAAAAGAAAAAGTCACATATCTCACTTTTAAAGCTGAGAAATAATTAAGCTTAGTGAGGAAGGCATGTGAAAAGCTGAGAAAGACTGAAAGCTGGGTGTTTTGCACCAAATAGCTAAGAAGGGAATGCAAAGGAAAAGCTCTTGAAGAAAATTAAAAGTGCTACATCAGTGAAATCACAAATGATAAGAAAGTGAAGCAGCTTTATTGCTGATATACAGGAAGTTCTAGTGATCTGAATAGAACATTAAACCAGCCACATTTCCTTAAGCCAATGGCTTATTCAGAATAAGATTCTAACTCTCTAAAAAAGGATTCATTTCAAATATTACTGTTCATTGGCAACGTACCTAGTCACCCAAAGTTCTGATGGAGAGGTACAAGGAGATGAATGTTGTTTCCATGTGTGCTAACACAACATCCATCCTGCATCCCGTGATCAAGGAGTAATTTCTACTTTTAATTCTTATACTTTAAGAAATACATTTTGCAAGGCTCTAGTTGCCATAGATAGTGATTCCTCTGATAGTCCTGGGCAAATTAAATTGAAAACCTTCTGAAAAGTAGTCATCTTTCTAGATACCAATAAAACCATTTGTGATTCATGGGAGGAGATCAAAATATCAAAGTTAACAGGAGATTGGAAGAAGTTGATTCTAATCCTTATACATGATTTTGAGGGGTTCAAGACTTCACTGGGGGAAGTGAATACAGACGTGGTGAAAAAACAGCAAGAGAAACTAGAATTGGAAGTGCAGCCTGAAGATGTGGCTGAATTACAGCAATCTCATGATACAGCTTAAATGGATGAGGATTTAATTCTTATGGATGAGCAAAGAAAATTGCTCCTTGAGATGGACTCTACTCCTGGTGAAGATACTATGAATATCGCTGAAATGACAACAAAGGATTTAGAATATCATATAAGCTTAGTTAATACTGCAGCATCAGAATGTGAGAGGATTGACTTCAATTTTGAAAGAGGTTTTTCAGGGGTTAAAATGTTATCATATAGCATTGCATGCTACAGAGAAATCTTTTGTAAAACAGAAGAGTTAATCTATGTGCTAATTTCATTGTTGTCTTAAGAAACTGCTGCAGCCACCCCAACCTTCAGCAAACGCCACCCTGCCCAATCAGCAGCCATCAACATTAAGGCAAGACCCTCCACCAGCAAAAAGATAACTTGCTGAAGGCTCAGATGATTGTCAGCAATTTTTAGCAATAAAATATTAATATTTTTAAATGTTCTCTTTTTGCCTTTTAGTTAAACTAATTAATTAGCTCTCATATATATTTTTTTTATTTCAACAGCTCTTAGAATACAAGTGGATTTTGGTTACATGGATGAATTGTACAGTGGTAAAGTCTGAGATTTTAGTGCACCCATTACCAAAAGTAGTGTGCATTGTACCCAATATATTATTTTTAAATCTCTTACACCCCTCCCATCCTCTGTCCTCTTCTGAGTCTTCAAAGTTTATTATATCACTCTGTATGCCAATAAATATTTTAAAATTAATATATGTAAATTGTTATGCATAATGTCACTGCATACTTAACAGACTACAGTATAGTGTAAACATAACTTTTACATGCACTGGGTAACCAGAAAAAACTGTGTGACTGACTTTATTGCAATACTCACTTTTATTCAGTGGTCTGGAACCTAACCCGCAATATCTCCAAGGTGTATCTGTAAAGAGACTAAACCCTAGATTATTGGAGTAAAAATGGAGGTCTACAGTCTATGGGTTTGATGTAATTTGACATGGAAGGACTTTGATAAATAAACCAATGAAACATTTCTTCCCATTTTTTAACTAATAGACAAGGAAAAGAAAATCACCTGAGGCATGAAGGAAGTTGGCCATATTGACACATTGTTATAACAAGAATGTAGTGTCTTGATTTCCCGCCCTGTGGTCTTTCCCATTATATGTGTATTATTTCCACGTATTCATATAGAGAAGAAAATTATAGCTCTAGACAAGGCCTCAGAATTTTTAGTAAAGTGGGTCTCCAGGTAGCCCATAACAATTGATCAGCATTTTTACATGTGATCAAAGCTATTTGCCCTTGTTGATATCCTAGGAAAAACTGAGGGCATTAGACTGGAGCATTTAGTTGTAGTAAGAAGTCTAACGATGACATAGTTCCAGGAAACACACTTAGCTTACCAATGTCTCAGTTTCCTTACCTATATAATGGAGACAACAGTGCTCTACTTTTCCTCAGTTACGGAATGATTGTAAGATTAAGTGAGATAGTATATGAGCATTCTAAGAGGAAAATAAAAGCTTTAATAATACCTACACCAACACAAGGTATTATAGTTATCTATGCATGGGAAATTTCCTACCAATATTGTGTAAGGCTGTTCTTGCATTTCTATAAAGAAATATCTGAGACTAGGTAATTTATTTTTAAAAAGAGGTTAATTGGCTCACAGTTCTGCAGACTACAGGAAGCATCATGCTGACATCTGCTCCTGGGGAGGCCTCAGGATCCTTACAGTCATGACGGAAGGTGAAGCAGGAGCAGGCACTTCATATGGCAAAAACAGCTGGGAGAACAAGAGAGTAGTGGGGCGGTGACACACACTTTTAAATTACCAGGTCTCCCAAGAACTAACTCAATATCACAAAGACAGCACCAAGCCATAACGGATCCACATGATCCAAACACCTCTCACCAGGCCCCACCTCCAGTATTAGCGATTACAATTCAGCATGAGATTTGGGTGGGGACAAATATCTAAACTATATCAAAAGCCCAAGTCCAAACTTCTTCCCTTCCCCCTTTTTTTTAACCTACAAGGTTCTCCTTTTTCTTATCTATAAAATGTCACTAATAATACTTATAGAACTATGAGGATTAAATGAAGAACATATACAAAAGGCCCTAGCATAAGTTTTTGGCGGAATTCAAACTCAATGAAGTGTTATTATTAGCCTCCTCACTAGCCACCTCTCTGGCCAGTGCTAGCATAGTTATTGTTGGGTTGACTCTAATCCCTCAGCATAAATGAGCATGTTTCAGCCACATCCACATAAAAACCAGGAAATAAAATCTGGTAAAGGTTTGAGGTTCCCTGGATGGTGATGTATGGGACTGGTTATATTAGTTATGATGTTTTATTTCAGAAAAGCCAGAAAGGGGATACATGTGAGCAGAAAGAAAAGTGAGATCAAGTCATTGATAATCCAGAGGGCTACAAGTCTATGACAATGAAAGTATGGTAATGATATCATCATCATCATCATCAGCAAAGCTAACATGTATTGAAGGCTTGCTAGCTGGCGGACACTACACTAATCTTTTTGTATGTATTATTTTACTTAGTCCTATTTACAATCTTAAGAAAGCCTATTTTATGGCAAGAAAACAGAGACTTGGGGAAATTAAATAATTTACCCCAAATCAAAAATACAAAGTAATAGAGCTAGAATTTAATGCAGACATAACTAAATCTTATTCACATAATTAATATAAAAGCCAGACTATGGTTCATTAATCCAATAGGCTTTTGTTGACTGCAAAGAAAAGGAGGATGGAATAATAAAAAATGAAGGCCTTTGGAAGTAGAATTTCCAGATTAAACACAGGATGCCTCATTCAACTTGGATTTCAGTTTAAGGAGATATAATATTTTAGAATTATTACGTATCAAATATTATATACCTGAAATTCAAATGTATCTCTGGGGTTTATTTGGTACATTTGGAACCTTATTTATTTGGAAGTAGTGAGGAAAGAGCAAGTGAAGTAGGTTTTACTCAGTAAAATATGTACATAAGGGACATTTTCTGGCTACACTGGGGGGGCATAATTTAAGAACATGTCTAATGCAAGCTGCTCAATCTCTTTATTTCATAGAAAAATAAGGCTTTCACAAGATCTAGAATTTTTCCTATAAATATGGCTTTCTATCAGTTTTGTTTTGTTTCCTATCAGATTTTTCTTTTAGGTCATGGAGTGTCAGAGAATCTAATAGAAGCTCTGGACTATCTCTCCATCAAAAACTTAAACACATGCTCATAGTTCCTCTCTCAAAGTCAATAGTGATCATTTAAAACTCATGCTTTAAACCATCAAAAGAAGACAGCAGCTGGACAATGTGCCTTGAAGTCAGAAAGACATGTCTCACACAGCAGTGCATTGATAAATGTTTAAACTGACCTGCTGGGGAAGGAGAGCCCTGATTTACACCACCTGCCAATTTCCATGGTATAAATACTCCTGCTATGGCTGATTTCAAGCTACTTTCATAGCATCACCAAAATATGGAGTTGGGAAGAAATACATAATAGCACACCATTGTATGGAGTGTCATATGTATATGGTAGATGTAAAAACCCCTCAAGAATATAGATAATAGTAAAATGTAAGAAAGTCATTAGGATGTAATGAGTTTTCAGTAATTATTATCTTTTTTTAATATAACATATTTAATTGTAAGTGAGTCTACACGATTTAATTTTTAATACTGGCCATGTTTGACAAATCGCTTGCAAAATCCCTGAAAAATTCTCACTGCCTCAGCCTGTCACTGGCTTGACCCCTCCTCATGGAATTTGTAACTAAGTCTCTTGGTTAACATAAAAATGAGAGAGAAGGTATTTAAAGCACTTAGAAGTTTCTGACAAGAAGCAAGAAATTGTAAGTGATTTTACTATTGTTGTTACTACTATTAATGTGTAACTTTACTCACAGGAGCTATGTTTCTTAGTAAGTAACACAAGATAATTAATATTCTTGTGTAATTTTTCTATGTTACCCTTTAAAAGGGCGGATAGTTACACTCTGCTCCTTCTAGTGCCTAAGGCATGTTCTGACAGTAAATTCAATTTTGAAAGGTACACTATCTCACTACAAAATACCTAAGTTCAAAATATCACAATATTAATGGAAATTGTCAATTTCAATATAATATACTTCATGAGCCATACTGTGTATATTCAACTTCCCTGGAAGAGTACATGATTTTTTTCAAAGTATAGCAGGGGTTCACTTGGGCACTGAAGTTTATTTGTTTATTTTCTTTTATCCACACTATCTGCCAATTTTAGGTGCTCAGAGAATCATTGGATCTCTATTTATATTTATATGCTCTCATTAAAACAGTAATCCTTGCTGGATTTTTAAATTTATTAAATAATATATTTTCTTCTCTTGTTCTGGTTTCCTTTTCCATTCTTAAATGTGACATAAATATTTAAAGTATTTCTGTTTCTGTATGGTTACCTAAGCATTCAGACACAAGGAGGGAGCAGCAAAATAAGTAAACTGTCTTTTTAAGTTTCAGAAATTGTCCCTTTGTTTCTATAATATGTTACAGTATGTCTGTAAACTGCAGACACTGTGTTTCTCTATATCAATTTCTTAAAGCAGGATGAAACTGTAAGGATCCCTTCTATAAGGTCATCATTTATAGAATAACCAAAAATGTGATCAATCAAGTCATTCCAATGGAGCAATAGCCAGTATGACCTCAACAGACTTTGGCTTTTGGAGCCAGATCGCTTCAGTGACAGACATAACCCTGGTGGGTCGGCAGCATCCTTCACTGCTCACTCTGCCATCTGCCACTGTGGAAACTTCATCATTAAAAGCAGAGTTGTTGCTGGACAAATTTGCAAATGGTTTTGGGAGCATTATTATTGCACAGAACGTTACCATCTGTAAGTAGGCAAATCTGAATTACAGTATATGTCTACCTAACTCTCTTACTCTACATATAACTTAATAGAAAATTTACATGCATTAGTCTCAAAACCGGGAACATTTCCTTTGCTATTATGAAATTATAGCCCTGCAAAGGACTTCCAGAGCTTAGCTTTATGCTTTTAAATATACCTGCATTTAAACCATCACAAATCAAAGAATATTTTATTTTGCGTTTAGTTGTCTATCCTTATTCACAAAGTATTTTTAATTATTTAATATCACTTACATTATTATATTACATTATAATATTATTATCACATATTCACATTTAAATATATCTTTTTAAGAAACGCTTCAATTTTGTCTATGACACTGTACCAGGCAATTTGGATACCATGGAATAAGTTATAAAGAGTATACAAACAATGTAATGGCAACATTAAGTGAGAATTTCCAACTTAGAAGCCAGGCACTATATATATTTATATTCTCTAAGTCCTACTGCATTGAATTAGAATTACTATAATTATAGTTATTGAATTAGAATTATATAATATTTTACATAGCTATATTATTAATAAGATGTTATTATTATTGCTATTGTACAGGCAAAGTAACAAGGCAAAGAGAGGTACACTGATTGCTCAAGGTCACAAAGCAAATTCATGAAGCATTTCATATTTTTTGAACAGTACTGTATTTTTGAAAAACACAGAGCATAGACGTTAAATCCCTCCCCCAGCACTCCCCGACTCCCATTCTTCAAGTCTCGACTCAAATGTTGCATACTTCAATCCCTCAGGCAAGATTAATTACTTCTCTTTCTATATCTCCACAAAACTTCGTTCATAACTTCATCACAGCCCTCATAACATCAGATTATTTTAAATTGCATGTATCAGTCTATTCCACTAGAATATAAGTGCTCAAAGGCTTGACTTACTTTGCTGCATGAATGAAAGTCTCCTTCTGCAAATTGTGATGATGTGTTGTTTAACATTAGCCAGTTTTAAAATATTCACTTATTCTTGTCAATCACTGTGCTAAGTTGCTGATGATGTAACAGTAAGTCAAGACTGTAATGGTTCCTGCCTTCCAAAGGTAACACCTAGTAGGTGATACAGATAATCAAAAAGACTAATATAACATAGTGTGATAAGTTTAACAATTATAATGATGATGGTGACAATGATGATAAGTTAATAGTTAATAGTTATTGAGTACTTTTATGTCCCAGGCCTGGTTCCAAGCACTGCACATGTATTATCCAATTGAATACAACTCAGTAACAGAGGAAGTACAGAGTACTTTCATAGAAGTCAGGAAGAGGACACTTAACTAAGACTTTAGAAGTCAGTGAAAGCTTCCTTAACAAAGTGATTTCTAAATTAAGAGCTGAAAAATGAGTAGGAATTAGGAAGGCGATGCGGGATTCCAGGGGGTGGGAGGGTGGTGACAGAAAAGTATGTGTGTGTGTTGGGCAAGGGTTAAGGAAAGGAAAATATTTCTAACAGAAAACAAAGGCTAATCAATAGATGTATATAAAGGATATTGGGCTTTCTACGTCTAAGTCAGACTATTGGTATCATGGAGCTTAATTCTTTTGGAAACAATCACACAAACTAAAAACTGGACCAGATCCATCACCCTCATTTTACAGATAGGAGCGCCAAATCCCAGTTCGAGGAAATGAGTTCCCCATGCCATGCAGTGTCATTGGCAAGAATCGGGTCCCCAGACCAAGCTCCTTCCGTGATATCATGCTGCTGCTCTGTGGACTGCTAAACGGTTTCTACTTCAACCAGCCAGCAGTAAATGCACACAGACAAATAGCATGTTTTATTATTCCCAAACACCATGTTCCAGCTCACGTTCCTCTCTTGATTTTTATTCTGCAAGAAAAACATAAATTATGGAATATAATAGCACATAACTGCACTTAATCTCTAAACAGACTTGATCTAGAAATTCAATCTTCCTCCCAATCTTCCTCTCAACACATTGGTTTCACCTTGAAAATGTGTCATGACTTTTTATTGTGTAGGCTATAATTCCATCTTAATCATATTTCTAATGGGTACTCTTAGTTGACTCTTATTTTGAGGTAGTTTACATTAGTTGCAAGTGCACGGCTTTTGAAGGCAGACAGACTGGCGTTCCAGTTCTGTATCTGCCATTTACCAGATGTGCCACCTCAAACCAGTCACATAGCATCTCTGCATTAGCACCTAACCTCATGGTGCTCATGTGGGGATTAAGCGAGAACAAGCCTGTAAAGTGAAATGCACAGTGCTTGGCACATGGTACATTTTGAAAACATGTTGACTTGTGAGATACATTTTTTTAACATAAAATCATAAAATTATGGTTAAAAATATCACCTGCTCCAACTCTTCCATCTTACAGATGAGGTGTGTAGACTGGTAAAGTACTTTAAAAAAAAAAACAAAAACTTTTATTTTACATTCAAGGAGTAAATGTACAGTTTGTTACGTGAATATACTGAGTGATGCTGAAGTTTGAGGTACAAATGATCCCATCATTCAGGTACTGAGCATAGTACCAGATAGTTAGTTTCACAACCCTTGCTCCTATCCCTCCCTCCTTTATGTCCATGAGTACCCAATGTTTAGCTCCCACTTTTAATGAGAGCATACAGTATTTGGTTCTCTATTTCTGCTTTAGTTTGCTTAGGATGATGGCCTCTATCTGCATCCATGTTGCTGCAAAGGATGTGATTTTATTCTTTTTTATGGCTGCGAAGTATTCCATGATGTATATGTATCACATTTTGTTTGTTCAATCCAACATTGATGAGCCCCTAGGTTGGTTCCATGTCTTTGTTATTGTGAATAGTGCTGCCAAGAGCATGTGAGTGCATGTGTCTTTTTGATAGAATGATTTGTTTTCTTTTGGTTATATACCCAGTAATGGGATTGCTGGGTCAAAGGTAGTTCTATTTTTTAGTTCTTTGAAAAATTTCTAAACTACTTTCCACAGTGGCTGAACTAATTTACATTCACACCAATAGTGTATAAGTATTCCATTTTCTCCACAGCCTTGCCAGTATCTGTTTTTTGACTTTTTAATAATAGCCATTCTGACTGATATGAGATGGTATCTCTCATTATGGTTTTGATTTGCATGTCTCTGATGACTAATGATGCTGAGCATTTTTTTCATGTATTTGCCTTGTGTGTCGCCTTTTGAGAAGTTAGACTGGTAAAGTGTTACCAAAATGAATTATCCAATTAGTTCCCACCACCAGGCTATGAATTTTGTAAAAGCATGAATTTCCTCGATTCTGACATCTACCACTATGAAAAACCCTTAATAAGTATAAATACATGTTGGTTGAATTATCTAATTATTTAGTGGTTGAGCAAAGGCTACAACTCAAGCTTCCTGACATCTAGTTCTGGCTTTTTTTTTTTCCAGGAAAAATTAAGGTAAAATAAGAATCCTTGATTCTTCAATTTGAAAAGTTTGTTCTGGGGAAAATCTGGTCCTGTGAATTTCAAGTTATTCTATGATGCTCTAATATGTAGCTTTTCATTCTGCCTGGACACAGTTGATACAAATTCACATGAATATTAAATAGTTGGGAAGGGAGTAGGGACTTTCCTTTAGCAATTAGGAAGTGAGACAATGCTTTAGTGTGAATATCCTGCTGGGTGGTTGATATATGGTATGACTCAGGCACTGTGCTTATGCATTTTAAATTGCTTTCTTTACAACTCTAGTCTAGAGGAAATATCATGTCTGAGCCAAACTGGGACAGGGCATTCCAACCCAGTAAAGTGAAACTGAGAAATCTCAAACAGGCACCATACTCCTTGAACTTGGCTACTCTAATTACGTAGAAATGAATTTCACGATGAGCTCCTCTAACATACTGTACTTATGAAAAACCAAAAGCATATAAACAGAGCGTGAACAAATGTTATTTCCAAACCCACTTAAGTTGCTTAAGCTGTGGAGCTCCTGGCCCTAATTTTAGTAGCAGCATTAACAGCTGGTGGAAATAATGCCATGGTTTGTAGATGTGAAATACCATAGAAACCTGATCAGTTTCTCTTGATGAGGTAACATCAGACTCACAATAAATAAGTGCAAGTTTTGTGGTTTTTTTGATTCATCTACTTAAGAAAAAGCAGCTATTATTTTATGCCAAAAATGTGAGCAGTGGTTCCTACTCTTCCCTTTGCTATTCCCTCTTAAGTCAGTGATAAAATATACATGGAACAAATTATCTCAGTCTGCCAATTATGGTTGGAAGTATAACATTATCCTTTAACTTAACATTTATGAAGCAATTTGCTATAGAAATAGGGGTGATGTGATGGTTTTCAGATGGTAAACTGTGTTAACTGCTTGAAAATGCAAACAATTTAGGAGCTGACAGGTTCAATTCTCAAGTAGAGGAGGTGCATTGTGATGTTTGGCATTGGTTAAATATTCAATCATTCCACTACCCTGTCTGTGGGAAATATGCTAATGGGTTATTGCTACAGCCTTTGAACTCCCAGGGCAAGTGAAGCCCAGAATTCCATAGCCCTGATGCCAGTGGGTGTGATTACATTTGATGGATGCAAATAACCTTGGCTTTAATATCTTGATTGATCTGGAATGTATTAAGGAGGAATTTTTATCACACAAACAGAATGCTACAGAATCAAATTCTACTCTAGAAGTCCATTCTGTTTACTCTCACTAATGCCTACTCTCATAGATACAGATATGTCTCCTGACTTTTCTTATTTTATATTAACAACACATATTTTAGCTCAGCCACCACCCAACAAATTAAAATGAGTCCTTAAAAAATAATACGCTTTAATATATCCCATTTTCCAGCAAACAAAACAAAAATGAAATAAAAATAATAAACCTCTCTTACAGAAAGTTTTTAAAAGTTTTTAATTCTAGGAAATTTTATATTTTTAAAGAAAGTACAGCCAAAGATCTGGTTATCATAGACAATAAAAACACAAGTTAAGCAATGGAAGCAGACTATTTTTTCCTGATTACAAAAGAAAGAAAGAAATCTATGGCATGTAGTAATGTGTCCATGTATCTAGTTCACGAGGTTCGTGACTCAAACTGGAAAGTTCACTGAAGAACAGGCAATCATTTTACTGGATTACGCTTTTGGATATGTTTGGATAAGGAAGCTGAGCAAATATTTTTAAATATTTAAGATAAACTTGGAATGTTTGACACAGTTGAAATTTGAGCTTTATTACATGGGCTCATAATAACAGTGAGAGTTTTTCATTCCTGTTCTGGTCTGTGTACATGTTGCACTTTTATTTTTCTTTAGGAGGGATAGGGTACCCAAGGAAAGGAGGGAGAAAAACAAACGGAAATAGTGCACAAAATGTCTCCATAGAAATATAAGGTGTAGCCTTTGTTCTTGTTTCTGTCAAATAGTGAACTTTTTGGTAACATAATAATTATGTTCATATTCTTACTTTATTGCAATCCCACAGTAGCACTGTGTGCAAGGTGCCCTTTACAGATTAGTCTTCCTCAATCAGACAACTGAGGTGAATAAATATGTACAAGTTATTATTAATGCTGAAAATCTCCTCTGGCAGCCCATCTCTTGTTTGGACTGTTTTTGGTTGGTCTTCATTTAGGGATAATGTACTGAGCCAGGACACAGGCATAAACATTAACACTGGCACTGCAACCTTGCTGGCTTGTACTGTGCTAGAATTTATGAGGTCTCTTCCTAGAATTAAGACTCCAGTAGTGATTTAAACCAAATTAATCACTCTGGCCATATTGGTTCAGTTCAACTCTGGAGTATCTTAACTTGGTTAGTGATGCATTTACCAGCAATTAAAATAAATACAAGAATATATATTATTCTCTCACTAAGAGGCAAAACTAGTAAGCATAACATAACGTAATTGTTGAGTTGCTCAGAATTGTCATCAGCCCTTTACTATTTTAAATATCTCTTATAGTTAAGATGCCAGAATCTGTCTATATTATAAAATATATTTATTATATATAAATAAATATATTTATAATATGGTTCATATTTATAAAACATTTATATTTAAAAATTATTAACCATCTTTTTATTAAATGTAATATTTTAAACTAATTTACCTGAAAATAAAATTTAATTACCTATAAATACCAATAATTCTATAAAATAAATGATTTTTCTCTGTCTTCTTCATAACAACCAGCATAGAGATTTGCCCATATTTATATGAGGAAAAAAAGTGGGGCTGTTGAAGTAAAACTAACATATATTTTAAGTCTCTTAGCTGCTAAGTGTTGCCACAATAATGCTGTGTAACCAACCACCCACAACTCAGGGGCTTAAAACAACGATCACTTATTCTTGTTGACCTGTGAGTTCTTTTCTGAGCTCCTCTCAATAGCGCAGGACCTTATGAAATGCAGCTCATAACAATCAGCACATTTTCAACTTTCTGCTTCAAAAGCTCCTTCTCCAAAGCTGGCATTTCAGTAGTTATTTATTTTATTTCTTCAGCGTAACCACAGGTGACAGTCTTACCAAATGTTTTGCCACTACATAATATTTTTTTCGGCCTATTCTATAAGTTTCTTTGCTCTCTGTCACTCAATTCCAAAGCCACTGGCAAATATTTTAAATATTGGTTATGTCAGTACCCCACTTTTAGGTACCGATTTCTGCATTAGTTAATATTTCCACAATAATACCACTTAGAAAATCACTCCGCAATCCAATGGCTTAAAATAACAATTATTTATTAACTTTTGTGTGTTTGTAGGTCAGCTCTGGCTTAGCTGTCGAGGCTGAGCTCAGCTGGTCTTGGCTCCAAGCTGTGAGTCAGGTCTGTGCATGCTCTGGTCTCTGCTGTACGTGAGGCTCAGGTCTGTTCTGTGTGCCAAAACTCTAGGGTCCCGGGTGAACTGCCAATAACTCCCTATGAGAATCTCTTCTCATGTAATTCCAGAAGTGCATGAAACATGCCCAAGCACACAAGCACATCTCAGTTCTCCACTTGTCACATCTGCTACTAACATCTTTTGTCCAACACAAATTACATGACTGACGATCAGGGAAATACACTATGTGTATTCCAAATCCATGGCAAAGTGCACATGTATATTATTACTAAGGGGAACCAAACAATTGTGATCAGTAATTGACAAACAATAGGCCTCATTATTGAAGGACCAATGAAATAATCCAATTTATCATCACTCTACTAAAGATTATGCAAAGTGATACTTAACCTCTTTTTCAATTCCAGTTCCGGCATTCTTATTATATTTTCTAAAACGTGCCAACAGCAAGAAACATTAAGCCAGTTCAATAATTCCATTATCTGCCCAATCATATAGTAGAAAATGTTACTTAAACCAAATGAATAATTTATATATTATATATATATATACACACACACACACACACATATATTTAGGTGATGTACTTTGTAATAGTTAATAATTTTCACAGAAATTAATGACATAGTGGAAATCATCACATCTCACTTAGCTTTCTAACTTATTTTAAAAGGCTCTTTTCAATGTCATCAGGAAATCATTTTTGTTAATTTTTTTCTCAAAAACATCCGGTAAGTTTATATTAATAAGAAGCTTCTTCTCTGAAATTGATTCTTCATCTTGTCATAGTCTACACGCATATTATCTTCAATCCTCAATAGTGAACTAGCAGTGAGAGCAGAAAATGTCTACAGCCCAAAGTCACATTGTCCAAGGTGGAAAAAGTCACTCCAAACATATGCTGCAGTCATTGTCCAAGAGATCTTAGTAAATGACACGGGCAAGACAATGGGAGGCTTTAGGCAGAACTTAATTACTGGGAGTCAGGTAAGGCAGCTATGTTCTTAGGTGCAGGTGGAGTATATACATGTTGGACTAGCCACACACAGAGGTGCAGAGGCATTTCCTAGTAACCCCTAGAGGGGAGACTAACTAAATTCTGTATACCAGGTTTGGAGCCACAGAAAGAACTTCAGACCTCATTTAGTGACATAGAAATAGAGGCTGAGGATGTGCCCTCGTAAGGATTGGCTTAAAAACTGGTCTTTTGTAATAAAGAATTTGGCCAAATTAAGGAAAGATCCCTCTTTCTCAATTTTTTGGAATAGTTTCAGTAGAACCGGTACCAGCTCTTCTTTGTATGTCTGGTGCAATTTGGCTATGAATCCATCTGGTCCAGGGATTTATTTGATTCATAGGTTTTTAATGACAGATTCCATTTTAGAACTTGATATTGTTCTCTTCATGGTTTCAATTTCATCTTAATTCAAACTTGTAAGGGTGTGTGTCCAGGAATTTGTCTATTTCCTCTAGATTTTCTAGTTTGTGTGCACAGAGGTGTTCATAATCATCTCTGAAAATCTTTTGTGTATTTCTGTGGAAATGGTTGTAATGTAAATTTGTCTTTTCTGATTATGCTTGTTTGGACCTTCTATCTTTTTTTCTTTGTTAATCTAGTTAGCAGTCTATCAGTCTTGCTTATCCTTTCAAAGAATGAACATTTGCTTTGGTTGATTTTTTGTATAAAGTTTTGGTCTCAATTTTGTTGAGTTCTTCTCTGATTTTAGTGATTTCTTTTCTTCTGTTAGCTTTGGAGTTAGTTTGTTCTTGTTTTTCTAGTTCCTCTAGGTGTGATATTGGATAGTTAATTTGAGATATTTCTAACTTTTTAATGTAAGAATTTAGCCTATGATTTTTCTCAACACTGATTTTGCTATATCCCAGATATTTCGCTATGTTGTGTCTCCATTTTCATTTATTTCAAATAATTTTTTTTATTCCTGCCTTAATTTCATTGTTTACCCAAAAGTCATTCAGGAGCAAGTTATTTAATTTACATACAGTCATGTGAGATTTTCTTGCTATTTATTTCTATTTTTACTATGTTATGGTCTGAGAGTATGGTTGGTATGACTTTGATTTTTTTTGGTTTATTGAGACAAGTTTTATGGCTGAGCCCATGGTCAATCGTAGGGTATGTTTTCTGTGCAGATGAGAAGGATATACATTCTGTGGTTGATGTGGGAAGTAGTCTATAGATGTGTATTAGGACCTATTGGTCAAGTATTGAATTTAAGTTTAGAATTTCTTTGTTAGCTTTATGGCTTGAAGATCTGTCCACTGCTATCAGTGGGGTGTTGAAGTCTCCAACTATTATTGTGTAGCTATCTAAGTCTTTTTGTAGGTCTCTAAGTACTTGTTTTATGAATCTGGGTGCCCCAGTGTTGGGTGTGTATATATTTAGTTACACACCCAGTTAGGCCTTCATGTTGAATTGAACACTTTTTCATTATGTAATGCCCTTCTTCATCCTTTTTTACTATAATTGGTTTAAAGTCTGTTTTATATGATATAAGAATAGTGGCCCCTGCTTTTTTGATGTTTTCCATTTACATGGTAGATATTGCTCCAACTCTTTTCTTTGAGCCTATGAGTGTTATTACAGGTTCTTTTGAAGATAGCAGATGAATGGGCCTTGTTTTTTCACCCAACTTGTCACTCTGTGCCTCTTCAGCGGGGGCATTTAGACCATTTTCATTCCAGGTTAATATAGATTTGTGAGGTTTTCAACCTATAGTGAGGTTGTTAGCTGGTTGTGTTGTAGTTTCTTTTCTTTTCTTTTTTTTTTTTTTTGCGACAGAATCTTGCTCTGTTGCCCAGGTTGGAGTGCAGTGGCATGATCTCAGCTCACTGCAAGCACTGCCTCCTGGGTTCCCACCATTCTCCTGACTCAGCCTCCCAAGTAGCTGGGATTACAGGTGCCTGCCACCACACCTGGCTAATTTTTTGTATTTTTAGTAGAGACGGGGTTTCACCGTGTTAGCCAGGATGGGCTCGATCTCCCAACCTTGTGATCCACCCGCCTCGGCCTCCCAAAGTGCTGGGATTACAGGCGTGAGCCACTGCGCCCGGCTGCATTGTAGTTTCTATTGTAACTGCTTTGTAGTTGCTTTATAGGGTTTGTGGACGATGTAAGTAAGTGTGTTTTTGTGGTAGCATGTATTATTCTTTTTTCCCTATGTTTAGAAATTCCAGGCTCTCCTGTAAGGCTGGCCTAGTGGTGATGAATTTCCTTAGCAATTGCTTGTTGTAAATTTTTTTATTTCTCCACTGCTTATGAAGCTAAGTATGAAGCCAGCATCACCCTGACACCAAAATCTGGCAAGACACAACAACAAAAAAACTACATCCCAATATTCCTGATGAACATAGAAACAAAAATCCTCAACCAAACTATAGAAAATAGAATCCAACAGCACATCAAAAAGTTAAGTCACCATAATCAAGTAGGCTTTATTCCTGCCATGCAAGGATGGCTCAACATACACAAATCAATAAATGTGATTCACCACATGCATGTAATTAAAAATAAAACCATGTAATCATCTCAATAGATGCAGAGAATGCTTTTAATAAAATCTAACATCTCTTCATGATAATCTAATGTCTCTTCATGAAAATCTAACATCTCTTCAATGAACTAGGCATTGAAGGAATGTACCTCAAAATGATAAGAGCTGTCTCTGGCAAACCCACAGCCAGCAACATATTAAACAGGCAAAATCTGGAAGCATTTCCCTGAAGGACTGGAACACAACAAGGTACCCCACTCCCACCACTCCTATTCAGTGTAGTGCTAGAAGTCCTAGCCAAAGCAATCAGGCAAGAGAAGGAAATAAAAGGCATCCACATAGGACTACAAAAAGTCAAATTATTTCTCTTCACTGATGATAGGACTCTATATTTAGAAAACCCTAAAGACACCATCAAAAGGCTCCCCAATCTGATAAATGATTACAGTAAAGTTTCAGGGTACAAAGTCAATGTACAAAAATTCAGTAACATTTCTATATACTAATGATGTCCAAACTGGGAGCCAAATCAAGAACACAATCTCCTTTACATAACCACAGAAAAAATAAAATGCCTAGGAATACATCTAACCAAAGAGATGACAGATCTCTACAAAGAAAAAAACACACAAAACCTTGGTGAAAGAAATCAGAGATAACACAAACAAATGGAAAAACATTCTATGCTCATGGATTAGAAGTATTAATATCATTAAGATCATCATACTGCCCAAAGCTATTACAGAGTCAATGCTATTACTATCAACCTACCAATTGTCATTTTTTTCACAGAATTAGAAAAAAACAATTCTAAAATTCATATGGAATTAAAAAAAAAACCCAAATAGCAAAAGCAATCCTAAACCAAAAACAAACAAACAAACAAACAAAAAAACAAAAAAAAACAAAACAAAGCTGGAAGTATCACAGTACCCAACTTCAAACTATACTATTAGCGACAACCAAAACAAGGTACTGGTGCAAAAATAGACGCGCAGACCAGTGGAATCGAATAAAGTCACATACCTACAACCGTCTCATCTTCGACAAAGCTGACAAAAATAAACAATGGGGAAAGGACTCTCTATTCAATAAATGGTACTAGGATATCCAGCTAGCCATATGCAGAAGAATGAAATTGAATCCTTACTTTTCACCGTATACAAAAATTAACTCCAGATGGATTAAAGATTTAAATGTAAGTCCTCATACTATAAAATTCCTATAAGAAAACCTAGGAAATACCATTCTGAACATTGGCCTTGGCAAAGAACTTATGACTAAGTCCTCAAAAGCAACTGAAACAAAAACAAAAAGTGATAAGTGGGATCTAATTAAACTAAAAAACTTTTGCACAATGAAAGAAGCTATCAACAGAATAAACAATCCACAGAATGGGAGAAAATATTCATAAATTATGCATTCAACAAAGGTCTAATATCCAGAATTTTAAGAAACCTAAACAAATCAACAAGCAAAAACCAAAATACCCTATTAAAACGTGGGCAAAGGACATTAACAGGCTCTTCTCCTAAGAAGACACATAGGCAGCCAACAAACATGAAAAAAAAAAAACACTCCAAATCACTAATCATCAGAGAAATGCACATCAAAGCCACAAGGAGATACCACCTCATACCTCTCAGAATGGCTATGATTAAAAAGATAAAAAAATAACAGAGGCCAGTGATATGGTTTGGCTGTGTCCCCACCCAAATCTCATCTCTAATTGTAACTTTCACAATTCCCATGTTTCATGGAAGGAACCCAGTGGGAGGTAATTGATTCACGAGGGTGGGTCTTTTCCATGCTGTTCTTTTGATAGTGAATATGTCTTATAAGGTCGGATGACTTTAAAAACAGAAGTTTCCCTGCACAACTCTCTCCTTTTGTCTGGTGCCATCCATGTAAGATGTGACTTGCTCCTCTTTGCCTTCCGCCATGATTGTGAGGCCTCCCCAGCCATGTGGAACTGTAAGTCCATTAAACCTCTTTTTATTCTCAGTCTCGGGTCTGTCTTTATCAGCAGCATGAAAATGGACTAATACAGTAAATTGTTACCAAGAGTGGGGTGCTACTGAAAAGATACCCAAAAATGTGGAAGTGACTTTGAAACTGGGTAACAGGTGTTGGGACAGTTGGAGGGCTCAGAAGACAGGAAAGTGTGGGAAAGTTTGGAACTCCCTAGAGACTTATTGAATGGCTTTGACTAAAATGCTGATAATGATATGGACAATGAAATCCAGGCTGACGTGGTCTCAGATGGAGATGAGGAACTTGTTAGGAACTGGAGCAAAGGTGACTCTTGTTATGTTTTAGCAAAGAGACTGGTGGCATTTTGCCCCTGCCCCAGAGATCTGTGGAACTTTGAACTTTGAAAGAGATGATTTAGGGTATCTGGCAGAAGAAATTTCTAAGGAGCAAAGCAATCAAGATGTGACTTGGGTGCTGCTAAAGGCATTCCATTTTATAAAGGAAGCAGAGCATAAAAGTTCAGAAATTTGCAGCCGACGATGTGATAGAAAAGAAAATCCCAATTTCTGAGGAGAAATTCAAGCTAGCTGCAGAAATTTGCATAAGTAACAAGGAGAAGAATGTTAGTCATCAAGACAATGGGGAAAATGTCTCCAGAGCATGTCAGCGGTCTTCATGGCAGTCTCTCCCTTCACAGGTCCAGAGGCCTAGGAGGAAAAAGTGGCTTCATGGGCCAGGCCTAGGGTCCCCGTGCTGTGTGAAGCCTAGGGACTTGGTGCCCTCTTCCCAGCCCCTCCAGCTGTGGCTGAAAGTGGCCAATGGAGAGCTTGGACCATGGCTTTAGAGGGTACAAGCCCCAAGCCTGGGCAGCTTTCACGTGGTGTTGAGGCTGCAAATGCACAGAAGTCAAGAGTTAAGGTTTGGGAACCTCTGCCTAGATTTCAGAAGATGTATGGAAATGCCTGGATACTCAGGCAGAAGTTTGCTGAAGAGGTGGGGTCCTTATGGAGAACCTCTGCTAGGGCAGTGCAGAAGGGAAATGTGCAGTCAGAGCCCCCATAAAGAGTCCCTGCTAGGGCACTGCCTAGTGGAGGTGTGAGAAGAGGGCTGCCATCCTCCAGAAGCCAGAATGGTAGATCCACTGACAGCTTGCTTTGTGCGCCTGGAAAAGCCACGGACACTTAATGCCAACCTGTGAAGGCAGTGGGGAAGGAGGCTGTATCCTGCAAAGCCACAGGGGTGGAGCTATCCAAAACCATGGGAACTCACCTCTTGCACCAGCGTGACCTAGCTGTGTGACATGGACCCAAAGGAGATTATTTTGGAGCTTTAAGATTTGATTGCCCCACTGGATTTTGGGCTTGCATGGGGCCTCTAGCCCCTTTGTTTTGGCCAATTTCTCCCATTTGGATTGGCTGTATTTACCCAATGCTTGTACCTCCATTGTATCTAGGAAGTAACTAACTTGCTTTTGATTTTACAGGCTCATAAGTGGATGGGACATACCTTGTCTTAAATGAGTCTTTGGACTGTGGACTTTTGAGTTATTGCTGAAATGAATTAAGACTTCAGGGGATTGTTGGGAAGATGTGATTTGTTTTGAAATGTGAGGACATGAGATTTGGGAGGGGCTAGGGTGGAATGATATGGTTTGGCTCTGTGTCTCAACCCAAATCTCATCTTCAGTTGTAACTCCCACAATTCTTATGTGCCCTGGGAGAAACCTGGTGGGAAGTAATTGACTCACAGAGGTAACTGAATCATGGAACTTTTTCATGTTGTTCTCGTGATAATGAATAAGTCTAATGAGATCTGATGACTTTATAGATGGGAATTTCCCTATACACACTCCCTCTTTTTGCTTGCCACCATTAAGACATGACTTGCTCCTCCTTGCCTTCTGCCACGATTGTGAGGCCTCCCCAGCTATGTGGAACTGTAAGTCCATTAAACATTTTCTACTTCCCAGTCTTGGGTATGTCTTTATCAGCAGCATGAAAATGGACTAATACAGCTGGCAAGGCTGTGGAAAAAGGAACACCTTTACAATGTTGGTGTGAATGTCAATTAGTTCAGCCACTTTGGAAAGCAGTTTGGAGATTTCTTAAAGAACTGAAAACAGGCCGGGCACAATGGCTTATGCCTGTAATCCTAGCACTTTGAGAGGCCAAGGCAGGTGGATCACTTGAGATCAAGAATTCGAGACCAGCCTGGTCAACACGGTGAAACCCCATCTCTACTAAAAATATAAAAATTCGCTGGGCATGGTAGCAGACACCTGTAATTCCAGCTACTCGGGAGGCTGAGGCAGGAGAATTGCTTGAACCCGGTAGGTGGAGGTTGCAGTGAGCTGAGACTACACCACTGCACTCCAGCCTGGGTGACAGAGTGATATTCCAACTCAAAAGAAAAAGAAAAAGAAAAAAAGAACTGAAAACAGAACTACCATTCTACCCAGCAATCCCATTACTGGATATATACCTGAAGAAAAATAAATTATTCTACCAAAAAGACATATGTACTTGTATGTTCATGGAAGCACTATTCACAATAGCAGACATGGAATCAATCAACCTAGGGCCCCAGCACTGTTGGATTGGATAAAGAAAATGTAATACATATACATAATGGAATCCTATGCAGCCATAAAATGAATGAAATAATGTCCTTTGTAGCAACATGGATGCAGCTGGAGGCCGTCATCCTAAGTGAATTATCATGGGAACAGATCAGATAACCAAATACTTCATGGTGTCACTTATGCATGGGAGCTGAACATTGGGTACATATAGACATAAAAATGAGAACAACAAAACATTGGGGCTACTAAAAGGGAGAGAGGGAAGGGAGTCAAGGGCTGAAAAATTACCTTTTGGGTTCTGTGCTCATTACCTGGATGATGGGATCATTTTTAACTCAAACCTCAGCATCACTCTATATACCCAGGTAGCAAACCTATACATGTACCCTCTGAATCGAAAATAAAAGTTGAAATTATTTTAAAACAATAATTTAGTAAAAGAATAATGTAAAAGTGCTTTCTTAAAACAGAATTTGGCTGGACTTTTCCCTTAGTTTCTGAGAGGTAGCCTGCAAATCTCTGGAATTTCTGGAGTTATAGGAGTGTCTGTCATTTACGGGTAGTTTATGCTAAAAAGTGACACGTCTATCTGTAGATAGTTTGTAATAAGGCAGTGACTTACAATGTGAGCTAACCACACCAAAAAGACCAACCATGTGATTAGAAGACTGAAGCTTTGAGCCACATGATACCTATCTGACCTTCAGGGAGAAAAGGGGATGTGGGCTTTCAGTTTAATCACAGGCCAATGATTCAATCCATCATTCCGATGCAATGAAACACCAATAGAACTCTGGACACTGGAACCTGGGTGAGCTTCCCTGCTGGCAGTACTTCACATGGTGAAAGGGGTACATTCTGACCCATGGGGAGATGATATTGAAAACTTCATGTTTGGACCCTGTCAGATTTCGTTTTATGAGTCTCTTCTTTTGGCTGGTTCTGATTTGCTTCTTTTTTGATTTAATAAAACTGTTTTAAGTATAGCACTTTCCTGAGTTCTGTGATTTGTTCTAGACAATTATCAAAATGCCAGGGATATTGGAAGCCACCAGATTTGCAGTTAATTGGTCAGAAGTAATGATAGTCTAGAAACACCTAAGTTTGTGGCTGGTGTTTGAAGTGAGAGCAGTCATGTGGAAGAATGTGCCCTGAACCTGTGAAGCGTGGCTTAACTCCAGGTAGTTAGCATCAGAAGTCATTTTAACTGTTCAGAGCAGAGTCTGCAACTGCAATAGCTTCCCCTGGAATGAGAATGGGCTGAGATAGCCAACACAGATGGGATCTGTGTTCTCAGATAATTGCAAAATCACCTTGTCTCTTTGAGGCAACAAGAATTTTACCCTACTTTCTAATCACAGTTTATTTGTGTGTATGTATGTAGTCAAGTACTCCTGTTAAATCATGTTCACAGCACAAGAATCAAATAATTATTTGTTGATATTACAACTATAACTATTATTTTAACTTTTATACCTTTCAAGTGTTTGAAGAAGAAATAAAATATTTATAAGTTGTATGCTATGTAAGGCTGTGACATCACGTATTTGTTCCTTTGCTCCACTCTTACCAACCTTTGCTCTGATTTGTGCCATGAGGACTAGAAACCTGGAAACCTACGTTTCCCAGCTACTCCATCTCCCCACACCGCAGGCTTTCTGTTATGTTCTGATGATGGTAAGCAGTGGAAAGTTATAAACTGAAAGGAAGGATGCCATTTTTCTATTGCTTTACTCTTTTAGGCTGTACTTGTGGTAGTAGAATAAATAGCAAAGGTGCAGACTCCTTCACAGGAGTATGGATTACAGGTTTCTGCTCAGGTTTCTGTTGTAGAGGTGGTGGAGGCATTAGGTGTGTCACGTGGCCTTTAGCAAAGTTCTTTTGGGCTCCGGCTTCAGCAGGTGTAGCTACAGGCCTTGGGATTTTGCAGCGTTAGTTGTGGTGTGAGCTTCTGGTTTCCTCCAACTGATTCCAATGGCAGCAGTTTTCTCAGCCTCAGCTACAAAGCGGTCATGCAATCTGGGTGATTTTCCTTTCTCCTTCCTAAGGTGATAGCAGTTTTGTGTATTTACTATTATCTGGTTTAACTCACCTCCTCATTTTGCTCCTCCAGCCACTCCAATACTTTTTCATCCAATTAGATGCATTTCTCTATTTGAAACACCAATATTTTGTAACCAGAGAGACTGACACAGAGGGCAAGTAACATATTCCTGAAAATTTTGCCAAATGGAATTTTAAAAAATCAAATAACATTTTATATAAATAGGAAAGCTCATTAGGAAAAAAAGGAATCCTTATGATAGTAATACACCATTTCTAATTTTTCTAGTTCAAGCACTCATTAAATAATATATCTGCTACTTAATATATTATTTTTATATCTGCCTTTTTTTTAAAAAAAAAAGCTGGGTGCACCTGTAATTGTATTCCTAATGTATTCTGTTTTCATATAGCTTGCAAATTATTTTGATAATTTTTAGGCAAAGTATATTGTAAATATGAAACACAATCTGGTCAAATTTAAGAACTACTACAAATAGCCTGAGTGACAATGGGGACCGACTTGTTTTATCTACTTAATTTTACAGTTCCGATCTATAACATCAGAGCTGGGACTTGAAATAAAAAGTTCAAAAGTCAATTCCCTAGGCAAAAATATACTAATGAAAAAATGATATGGGAATTTAATTATGCAAGTAATTGTTTAGCTTTTTTTTTCCAATTAGCAATGGTCTTCACATTAAGATTTATTTTTATAAATGAATCTAAAATGGTGCCAGATGAAATCTGAATGTTTCTATGAATTTTGATACTGGAAATCTTTGAGAATAAGTTTGAAACAAGAAACCAAAAACCAAAAAAGCAAAGGAAAACTAAAATAATGTTTTAATGGTCATACTCAATTCATAGATTTTTAAACAAAAGAATTTTGGCTTAGTGAAATGTAATAAATAAGGAAAGGAATTCCAAAAGAATTTTAGTAACTGCTAGAAAATAGTGTTTTGTACTTTCTATATTCTGCTTTACAGCCTTAGTCTTCCTTCAATAGTAAAATAAGAATCGTCATTTTATGGTGACCTCAGTTTTAGCAATGTTAAAATAAATTTAGATGGAGATCAGGCCTGGAGAATCCCTAAGCAGACAAAGCCAGTTAGGTCTCATAAGTTACCTTAACCTTTCCTGATTTTCAAACTTAAGAGAAACTTAGCAAGCCTTTTTTTTTTTTTTGTAATTACCTATATTAAGTAAATATGAAACTTCAGGCTAATCAAACAGAAGCTGCCAATCAACTTACAAGTATATGTATTACTAGAGACTTTTTAGCAGGATAGACCTAATAAGGCAACTGTATAACTGTAACTAATCAAATATATATATATATATATATATATATATATATATATTTGCTTTATTTCCATGTTTGCCCTATAAAAAACCTTCCTCTTTAGTTCTCTTGGTGAAGCCTGAAACCTCCTTTAGGTTGGAGCTGCCCAGTTCATGAACTGCTATTTGCTCAAATAAACGCTTTAAAAATGTCATTTTGCCTCAGTTTACCTTCTAACAGCAGTACATTTTATTTCAATTTTAACTTGTTTGAACGTATGTGATCATCATTTACTACATGTTCCTATTTTGTAACTAATATTTTAATTGGGAACAAGGTATATTTACATAGCATTATAACAGCCAGATAAAAAACATTAAAAAAACCTTTTAGAAAAAAAAGTGTCTACTTTTGTGTATTCAGATGTTTTTGTTATATAAATGAAGTAACTCACTGTTGATGTTTTTAATCCAACTATTTGTAACACATAAAAACAAATACCTTACCTTGCTTTATACTTCAGTGTTCTTATCTATATATTAGAGTTTGCTTGGTGTTTTATCAGTAAGATAACACCAAAATACATAAATTATTTTGAAATTTAGAAAGGAAAGCTCAAATAATTTTTAAAAACACAATCACACCTCTAAAAAAAGCTTGAATAGGTAACTATAGGTAACTACAACCATAAATATAGTCATATTTTTGACCTAGTAACCCTACTTCTAGTTATTCATATGAAGAAAACAGCACTGTAAACAGAAACACATGTGTGTGTATGGATGTGTGTGTATATACATATGTTGATTATCTTCATTAGAATAAAAATTTTAAAAAATCAAAATGTTTAAATAGGACACGATTTGGTAAGTTATAGCACAATATATAAATACTGTTATGATTATGTAAATATAGAAAAATGTATTTGATAGAATGTAGAATGAAAAATCAGAATATATTTGCTATGTAACATAGCAACTATGAAACAAACATGCATTTGGTGAGGTCAACATGCAAAATGAAAATAAGATTTAAAATTATCAAGTTATGTTTTGTTTTTTAAATAATCTGTTTTGTTGATACTTCATTTTAATTTAAAATAAAAGGCTTCCTTTTTGTTAAGTTTATCCATTTGTAAAGGAATCAAAATTATGAGTAAAATGTGGGCAGACCAGAGATGACTTTAAGTTTACTATTAGAGTTAAAATGTCTAAAATCAAAAGATCTTTCTGATTAGATTTAAAGTCAATAAAGAACAACAGCCCTTTCTTCCCATCTCATGTTTAGAACTAGTTGAGAATAAGGCATAAGAGGTGGATTAATGAAGAAGATGTTAGCATTGTTACTAAAAAATGACTAGAGGGCATGGTTTTAGATTTTGGCTGGAAAAACTTGCTTCTTTCTAACACTCTCTGAATTCCTTTCTATAGAGACTCTGGGATAGACCATGGGAGTGAAAGTCAGGAGAGATGCACTTACCGGGATTATAGTTTACATCGATTCAAAAATGAAGGAGGAAGTAAAAGACAACCAATCCCCAGAGTATAAAGCTGTTTCCTAGACAACCTTCACCCTTCACCCACTGTGAAATATCCACCAATGATTATCGTCCACATGCAGATTCCTGTATCCTCCCTCTGACACCTCAGTTATCAAATATAAGCAGATGAAAAACACATATTTATATGAAATTTTATTCTATTGTAAAACTAAAAACAAGGTCATGAAGGAAAAGAGTATCAGAATGATTTTTTCTTTGCAACTTTATTTAACATTATTTTCTCAGTGAAAGAAAATTATCTTTAAAATATTTGGCTTTGTGCAGGGCTGAGACTAGGGTGAGTGAGGCACTGGCTTTTCAAGCAAAATTCAAGGGAGTGCCAAAAAACTCAGTAATAAACGTAAATGACACTTTATGTGACATTTTAATAATCGATTGGTGTGAAAAACCTATGATAAACAAAATATCAAAATGTCAAGTATCAGTATTACTACATTGATAGTAATACTATCAGTACTGCTGACAATATTGCTGTCAGTGTTGTATCAGTTGTATCAGTACCAGTGTTGCTGATAGTATTACTATAAAGACAGGATCGCTATTACTGATTTTTACTTCTGCCTCAAGCTCCCATATGGCTTGGCATGTCAATGGTTTGTTGACTGAAATTTATATATATATAATTTTTTATTTATAAAAATATAAATTTTTTAATATATATTTTAAAAACTATTTTTCAAGCCATATTTTTTTATGTGAAGAATCCAAATTCTAGGGTTTAGATCTGAGAAGTAACAAGAAAAGCATTTTAAAAACTTTCAAGGTTCAAGGTTGTTTATAAAAGTATACCTGGTATGTCATTTTCCATGGCAGCAGTTGAAAGTCAAATGCCAGAAGATTGCGGGTAGGAGGCAGGAATAGCTTACAGCTCTCACTCAGATGGATGGAGCAGCACGTGGAGACTCATGTTATCAACTTTTGCTCCAAGAACTACTGCAGGAACATATCAGGAAAGCCAAGAGAATCCACAGACCCTTTGAAGGAACTGTACCACCCCTGCAGACTCCCTGAGATGCCAAAAACTGTGAATCTGCTTGCTTTCTCAACTGGGAGGCTCATGGTCTGGGGTAAGTTCTCTTCCCTGGTGACTGGCTGCCTGGAAATAGACTCGGTGCTGTTGGGGGGGCCATGGTGAGAGTGAGATTGGCCTTTAGGACTGTGGGATGAATGGCAGCAGGGTGAAGCCTGTAACTTCTGGTTTTCCCCCACTTCCCCGGTGACTTGTATGACTCAGTAGAGGCAGCCACAATCTCCCTGGGAATATAACTCCATTGGGCTAGGAACCACACCCCCATCCCCAACAGCAGCCTTAGCAAACCTCACTCAAGGAGAGGCTGAGGTCAGACACACCTATCCCTGCCCCTACCTGGTAGTCTTTCTCTATCCCCTCTGGTAGCTAAAGACAAAAGTTATAATCTCTTGGGGGCTCTGTGGCCCTGCCCACCACCTGAGAAACCTGAACATTTAACCAGGTGTCCCTAGGGCAAGTTTGCAACCTCCCTATGCAGGACTGTAGCTGATGCACTCTTGAAAACACCACCTCCTGGCTTGAGGCCAACCAACACAAAACCAGTGCACTGAACAAAAACACAACCGAGGACCCTCAGAGTTCACTTCACTCTCCTGCTACTTCCACCGGAGCAGGTGCTGTGTATCTATGGTTGCAAGGCCTGAAGATGGATCGTATCACACGACTCTTTGCAGACACTCCCCAGTACCAGCCCAGAGCCTGGTAGCTCTGCTGAGTGGCTAGACCCAGAAGATCAAAAACAATCACTACAGTTTGGCTCTCAGGAAGCCCCATTCCTAGGAGAAGTGGGAGAACACCACACCAAGGGAGTACCCCATGGGACAAAAGAAACTGAACAGCAGCCCTTGAATCCCAGATCTTCCCTCTGACATAGTCTACCCAAATGAGAAGGAACCAGAAAAACATTTCTGGTAATATGACAAAACAAGGCTCTTTAACACCCCCAAAAGATCATACCAGCTCATCAGCAATGGATCCAAACCAAGACTAAATCTCTGAATGGCCAGAAAGAAATTCAGAAGGTCAATTGTTAAGGCAATCAAGGAGGCAGCAGAGACAGACAAAGTCCAACTTAAAGAAATAAAAAATATACAGGATATGAAAGGTAAATTATTCAGTAAAATGGATAGCATAAATAAAAAACAATCACAACTTCTGGAAATCAAGGACACACTTAGAGAAATGAAAAATACACTGGAAAGTCTCAGCAATAGAATTGAACAAGCAGAAGAAAGAACTTCAGAGCTCAAAGACAAGGCTTTTGAATTAACCGAATCCATCAAAGACAAAGAGAAAAGATTTTTTAAAAAATAAGCAAAGCCTCCAAGAGGTTTGTGACTATGTTAAAAATCCCAACAAAATAATTATTGGTGTTCCCGAGGAAGAAGAGAAATCTAAAAGTTTGGAAAACATCTTTGAGGGAATAATCGAGGAAAACTTCCCTGGTTTTACTAGAGATCTAGACATGCAAGTACAAGAAGCTCAACTAACACCTGGAAAATTCATCACAAAAAGATCAGTGCCTAAGTACATAGTCATCATGTTATCTGAAGTCAAGACAAAGAAAAGAACCTTAAGCGCTGTGAAGAAAAAGCATCAGGTAACCTATAGAGGAAAACTTTTCAGATTAACAGCTGATTTACCAGCAGAAACTCTACAAGCCAGAAGAGATTGGGGTTCTATTTTTAGCCTCCTTAAACAAAACATTATCAGCCAAAAATTTTGTATCCAGCAAAACTAAGCTTCATAAGTGAAGGGAAGATACAGTCTTTTCCAGACAAACAAGTGCTGAGAGAATTCGCTACTACCAACCCAGCACTACAAGAACTGCAAAAAGGAGCTCTAAATCTTGAAATAAATTCTCAAAGTACACCAAAATAGAACCTCCTCAAAGCATAAATCTCACAGGACCTATATAGCAACACAATGAAAAAAAAAAGAAAAACAAAAAAACGAGGTATTCAGGCAACAACTAGTAACTAGTGTGATGAATAGAATAGTACCTTATGTCTCAATACTAACATTGAATGTAAATGTCCTAACCCTGACACTGAAAATACACAGAATGGCAGAATAGATAAGAATTCACCAAATAAGTTTCTGCAATCTTCAGAAGACTCACCTAACACATAAGGACTTAACATAAACTTAAGGTAAAGGGGTGGAAAAAAGCATTCCATGCAAATGGACACCAAAAGTGAGCAGGAGTAGCTATTCTTACACCAAATGAAACAAACTTTAAAGCAACAGCAGTTAAAAAAGACAAAGACAGACACTATATGATGATAAAAGGACTAGTTCAACAGGAAAATATCACAATCTTAAATATATATGCACCTAACACTGGAAGCCCCAAATTTATAAAACAATTACTACTAGACCTAAGAAATGAGATAGATGACAACACAATAATACTGAGGGACCTCAATACTCCACTGACAGTACTAGACAGGTCATCAAGACAGAAAGTCAACAAAGAAACAATTGACTTAAACTATACACTGCAACAAATGGACTTAATGGGTATTTACGGAACATTCTACCCAACAACTGAAGAAAAAACATTCTATTACTCAGCACGTGGAACGTTCTCCAAGATAGACTATATGATAGGCCACAAAACAAGTCTCAGTAAGTTTAAGAAAATCAAAATTATATCAAGTACTCTGTCAGACCATAGTGGAATAAAATTGGAAATCAACTCCAAAAGGAACCCTCAAAACCATGCAAATATATAGAAATTAAATAACCTGCTCTTGAATGATCATTGAGTCAACAATGAAATCAAGATGAAAATTTAAAAATTCTTTGAACTGAACAATAATAGTGACACAACCTATCAAAACCTCCAGGATATGGCAAAAGCAGTGTTAAGAGGAATGTTCATAGCATTAAATGCCTACATCAAAATATGAAAGAGCACAAATAGACAATCTAAGGTTACACCTCATGGGACTGGAAAAGCAAGAATGATCCAAACCCAAACCCAGCAGAAGAAAAGAAATAACAAAGATCAGAGCAGAACTAAATGAAATTGAAACAAACAAACAAACAAAAAACAATACAAAAGATAAATGAAACAAAAAGCTGGTTCTTTGAAAAGATAAATAAAATTGATAAGCCATTAGTGAGATAAACCAAGAAGAGAGAAGATCCAAATAAGCTCAATTAGAAATGGAAGAGAAGATATTACAACTGATATCACAGAAATGCAAAAGTTTATTCAAAGCTACTATGAACATCTTTATTTGCATAAACTAGAAAACCTAGAGAAGATGAATGAATTCCTGGAAATATATAACCCTTGAAGGTTAAACCAGGAAGATATAGAATCTCTGAAAAGGCCAATAACAAGCAGTGAGATTGAAATGATAATTAAGAAGTTACCAACAAAAAAACAAAGTCCAGGACCAGGTGGATTCACAGCTAAATTCTATCAGACATTCAAAAAATTAGTACCAATCCTATTGACACTATTCCAATAGACAGAAAAAGAGAAAATGTTCCCTAAAACATTCTATGAAGCCAGTATTACTCCAATACCCCAAACCAGGGAAAGACATAACAAAAAAAGAAAAATACAGACCAATATCCCTGATGAACATAGATGCAAAAATCCTCACCAAAATACCAGCAAATCAAATCTAACAGCATATCAAAAAGATAATATACCATAATCAAGTGGGTTTCATACTAGGGATACAGGGATGATTTAACATACACAAGTCAAGAAATGTGATACACCACATAAACAATTTTTTTAAAATCACATGATCATCTCAATAGATGCAGAAAAAGCATTTGACAAAATCCAGAATCCTTTATGATTAAAATCCTCTGTAAAATCACCATAGAAGGGACATAACTTTAGGTAATAAGAGCCATCTATGAAAAACCCACAGCCAACATTATACAACATTATACAACAGGGAAAAATTGAAATGATTACCTCTGAGTAACCATTAAGTCGATTGTTTCTTTGTTGACTTTCTGTCTTGATGACCTGTCTAGTGCTGTCAGTGGAGTATTGAAGTCCCCCAGTATTATTATGTTGTCATCTATCTCACTTCTTAGGTCTAGTAGTAATTGTTTTATAAATTTGGGGCTTCCAGTGTTATGTGCATATATATTTAAGATTGTGATATTTTCCTGTTTCCTCTGAGAAAGGGAACAAGATAAGGATGTCCATTTTCACTACTTCTATTCAACATAGTACTGGAAGTCCTAGCTAGAGCAATTACACAAGAGAAAGAAAAAGGATCAAAATTGGTAAAGAGGAAGTCAGATGTCACTGTTCGCTGAAGATGTGAATGTATACCTAGAAAACCCTTAAGACTCATCCAAAAAGCTCCAAAACTGGTAAACGAATTCAGCAAAGTTTCAGGATACAAAATTAATGTACACAAATCAGTAGCTCTGCTATATACCAACAGTGGCCAAACTGAGAATCAAATCAAGAACTCAACCTCTTTCACAATAGTTGCCAAAAAAAAGTACTTTGGAATATACTCAATCAAGGATGTGAAAGAACTCTACAAGGAAACTACAAAAACACTGCTGAAAGAAATCATAAATGACACAAACAAATGGAAACACATCCCATGCTCATCAATATTGTGAAAATGACCATACTGCCAAAGCAATCTAAAAATTCAATGCAACTTCCATCAAACTACCACCATCATTCTTCACAGAACTCAAAAAAACAATCCTAAAGTTCATTTGGAATCACAAAAGAGCCTGCATAGCCAAAGCAAGAAGGACAAATCTGGAAGAATCACATTACCCAACTTCAAACTATATTATAAGACTATAGTCACCAAAACAGCATGGTAGTTGTATAAAAATAGGCACATAGACCAATGGAACAGAATAGAGAACCCAGAAATAAAGCCAAATACTTACTGCCAACTGATCTTCAACAAGCAATCAAAAAAATAAAGTGGGAAAAGGACACCCTATTAAACAAACAGTTCTGGGATAATTGGCAAGCCACATGTAGAAGAAAGAAACTGGATCCTCACCTCTCACCTTATACAAAAATCAACTCAAGATGGATGAAAGACTTAAATCTAACACCTGAAACCATAAAGATTTGAGAAGATAACATCAGAAAAACCCTTCTAGACTTCTAGACATTGGTTTACACAAAGACTTCATGACCAAGAGCCCAAAAGCAAATGCAAAGATAAATAAATGGGACTTAATTAGCTAAAAATCTCCTGCACAGCAAAAGAAATAATCAGCAGAGTAAACACAGTGGGGTGTTAAAAAGGATTCACTGGGGTGTAGGAAGTAAAACCAGCTTTAAATAGATAACATAGTTGTCTATGGGTTATCATTTCACCTAGCACAGGCGTTGGCAATTTTTTTTCTGTAAAGGAACAGACAGTAAATATTTTAGGCTTTGCAACCCATATGGCGTCTATCACAACAACTCAGTTCTGCTTTTGTAGCACAAAAGCCGCCACAGACAATATGCACATAAATGGGCATGGCTGTGTTCCAGTAAAACTTTACAAAAACAGGTCGTAGGCCAGATTTGGCCCTTAGGCCATAGTGTGCCAATTCCTGACCTAGTACAACATAGTATGGATTCAGGAAATTAGAATGTCTTTTCAGGTTAAAGATCATCAGACTCGAAACTCCATAAGAATAGGAACGATTGATTCGTGGAGTTCCTGGAGTTTGTGTTTATCATTGGGTCTCCAGGGAAGAGCTTCATTGGAGTTCTCCACTTTTTCAGGAAATGTTAGCTTCTGAACTGAGCAGTGCCTGGAACTTTTAGTAACACTCAGTAACTAAATGGAAAATGAGATATTTAGACATCTTACTTTAAAACTGTGTTATAATCATAAGACTGTACCTTATGCCTGCTCTTTCCACATCTGTTTTTACACAATAGATAAAATTTTTGGAGAGTCTCACCTTTTTTCTCTCAGCATAAGGTTAGTGACAGAGAAAGAGGAAGTGCTACAACTGTTAAAGAAGGAAATATACACAACCTGGATATGGGGTTCTTTACGCCCAAGCCCACAAAAAAAACCACTGAGGCCTATGGGAGTAAATATCATATATCATTGTAATTTATTAGAAACAAAGGAATGAGGAACCACTTCGGCAGTAGTGTCTTAACACGGCTGTATTACAGTGGTGATACCACATATGTACCTTCTGAAATTTGTACATAAGCACAGTGCTTAATATGTAACTTTAAGAAAAATGTGACCTAAGACATTAAACATACCTTCTTTTCCTGAACATCCTCTACCTTTTCATTCCTTGCGTTTTTTTATGAATGGTTTCTTTTCAGGTGTGATTTTTCTGAAGTTATTAAACATACTCAGGAGAGATTTTATATAAAAATCCGGACCAAATCCAAAGGCTAGTGTTGTCACTGAATAGAGACAGCATTCATTGACAATTTCACTTTCAGTCAATCCATTAATCTGTAAGGGGGCTTTCTAAAACTGTTAGTTATGAAAGGCTTTTTTTTTTTTTTTTTTTTTTTTAAGACGGAGTCTCGCTTGTTGTCCAGGCTGGAGTGCAGTGGTAGCGATCTCAGCTCACTGCAAGCTCTGCCTCCGGGATTCACACCATTCTCCTGTCTCAGCCTCCCGAGTACCTGGGACTACAAGGCACCTGCCACCATGCCCGGCTAATTTTTTTGTATTTTTTTAGTAGAGACGGGGTTTCACTGTGTTAGCCAGGATGGAAAAGCTTTTAAAAGAATAAAAATATATAGAAAACAGTGGAAAAGTAGAGTTTAATGTAGAGGTTTTTTTGTTTTTTGTTTGTTTTACTTTTCTAAGAATGTTTTTAAATAGCTATATCCCTACACAAATATATTTTAATTTCAGAATACAGAAAATACACATTTAAAAGTTTGTGATCTTCTTGCACACATATGTTTATTGTGCACTATTCACAATAGCAAAGACTTGGAACCAACCCAAATGTCCATCAACGATAGACCGGATTAAGAAAATGTGGCACATATATACCATGGAATACTATGCAGCCATAAAAAAGGATGAGTTCATGTCCTTTGTAGGGACATGGATGAAGTTGGAAACCATCATTCTGAGCAAATTATCGCAAGGACAGAAAACCAAATACCACATGTTCTCACCCATTCATAGGTGGGAACTGAACAATGAGAACACTCCCAAACACCATCACACACCAGGGCCTGTCGTGGGGTGGTGGGAGTGGGGAGGGATATCATTAGAAGATACACCTCATGTAAATGATGAGTTAATGAGTGCAGCACACCAACATGGCACATGTATACATACATAACAAACCTGCACATTGTGCACATGTACCCTAGAACTTAAAGTATAATTAAAAAAAAAAAGAGGCTTTTGAGGAGCCAGCTTTCAGGGAGCTACTTGGGAGACTAAGGCAGGAGGATCACTTGAGCACAGCAGTTTGAAGCTGTAGTGTGCCATAACTGTGCCTGTGAATAGACATTGCAGTCCAGCCTGAACAACATAGTGAGACCCCCATCTCTTTAAAAAAATCATTTTTTTAAAAGACTTTCAGGAATAGAGTCTCTCTCTTGCCTTTCCATTTTCTGCCATGGGATGATGTAGCAAGAAGGCCCTTGCCAGATGCTGTCCCCTTGATCTTGGACTTCCCATGCTCCAGAACTGTGAGAAATAAATTTCTGTTCATTATTAATTAAAAAAAAATTTGTGATCTTAAGAAAATGATAAAATCTTAGTATGAAAAATAAGATAAATATTAACTGAGCAAAATTTAGGATAGGTTCTATATTAACCTAGACCAATAACATTATGATATATATATATATAATTTTTCAATTCTATTGATTTACATATCAAAAATTAATACATGCTTATTATGCCAAAGTCTGTGTTTGAACTTGCGAAAACCACAAGTATGCATTTGAAAGCACCCCAACACTGAAAGACCTTGCTACATCGTCCAGGAAATCAATTGCTCACAAATAATATAGGGAAGTAAATAAGCAAAAATGGGTAAGATGAGAAAGAGGCAGATTTGCTCAAAGCAGAAAATATGGGCTAAGTGTAAAGGGGCCAAGCCTCAAAATTACCAGTTGGAATGTTGCTATCATAGAGAAGAAGATCTCCATTCAAATCCCTTTCCAATATGGTTAATGGTAAAGAGCCCCACTGGGGCATTAGTCAAAAAAGCAGGGTGATTGGAGACACTACTCATAAGTGTTAATGACGAAGGAGAATATATACAAAATTGCTAATAGCCAGATTGGAAACAGAATTCAAATGGGATCACTCATTTTTCCTTTCCCTGCTCTTTTTTTTTTAAATTTGCATTGTCATAAAATAAAATGCAGTTTGTTATCTATAGGTGGCAACATTTAGACTGTTCATTTTCTGACATTTTCTGAATTACATTTGGAAACAGATCTACCACCATCCTAATGGTGACAGCAAAATATAGAAATGAGAGAAAGCGCAGGAACTGGAGTTCTGAATAGAGTTTTCAAACAAAATATGAACACAGTAGCAAACATCTAGAGTTCACCTCTACCTTAAAATTATTCCTAGCATTTAGTGACCAGAGTTAGACAGTCTTATTTGAATCTGTAAAAGGCTTGGGCATTTCCACAGCTGCTAGGTCAAGGTTGGGTCATCCATGATCTTAAAGATGCTCCAAGAAACAGTCCATATTCTCTAATGTTTATGTCCTGAAAGAAAGGATCTGGTTTGTCATTTTTGTTCTGATTCCAAATGTTACATAATTAAGAGAGCCTGGGCTTCTAACACACTCAAAAGCTGCGTGAGTCATAAGGTTCAGTGTCATCCTTTTGATTCAAGCTAATTCCAAAACTATATTATGCATGGATCAGTGACCACGTAGGTGCAAAGGAAGGAGGTTGTGACAATTGACTGGAAATGGCTCTGTTCACCTGAGACCAGAAAGAGGATTTTATTAGTAGAAGAAAAGAAAAGCCAAAGATATATAGGATCTGTACATTAGGAGAACTCAGAACAGGTTGTATTCTAGTTTGTAGTGTTCTGAATGGTAATTGTGCATTTGTATATGGTTTTTAGTGATAATGTAATACAGTGGCCCCCACTTATCTGTGATTTCACTTCCTGCTAATTTAGTTACCCATGGTCAACTGCAGTCTGAAAATATTAAGTGGAAAATTCCAGAAATAAACAATTCATAAGTTTCTAAATGTATGTTTTCTGAGGAATGTGATGAAATCTCCAATGCCAACCCACTCCATCCTATACAGGATGTGGATCATCCTTTCATCCAGCATATCCACGCTGTAAATGTACCCACCCATTAGTCACTTATCCTCTGGATTATCAGGCTGTGGTGGTATTGCAGTGCTTGGGTTCAGTACTATCGCTGGTTTCAGGCATCCACTGTGGGTCTTGGAGCGTAGGCCCCGTGGATAAGGGAGGACTACTGTATAATACTGATTGTGGGGGACGTACTGAATAAAACTGATTTCTCTTTTCTTTTCAGCTGTAGTTAATTTACCTATCCTTTTCCTGAAATGCCAGTTTTGGGTATTTCATGAAAGCAGAAGACTAGAAAGATAATAAAAACCAAATGAGTGCTTGGCACATTTCTCACACTGTAATGAAACCAGAGTAATTGAGAGAGTCAGCAAATCACAGTTATCAATCAAATGGTGAATCTGGTGGGTACAGATGCCAAGTCTGATTTGCTGTTGTGGTCCAGAGAACCTGTTTTGTTTTTGTTATTTATTATTTTTGTTTGGTGTTTGCATTATTCTGAAAAACAGAAAAACACACACATTGTCCCACCAGGTGATACTTACATTTCAGCTTAAGAGTGTGGATCCAAAGTGGTATTGTAGGCTCAATTTTTAAAAGGAATCTGCCTAACAAATATCTGGACTTAAAGTGTAAAGGAAGTAGAGGAGGTGATTGCAAATATAAATAAAAAGAAAAAAGCCACTTCAATTAGTGCCTCAGTTAATCTGGATAGATTGAAAACTCACTTCCAATTCAACTCTAAAATTAATCCTCTTTGATAATATAAGGGACATTTTATGCAGTGATTTCAGAAATAATGAATTTATAAAAAAAAATAAGGAAAGGAAAAGAAAAAAAGAGAAGAAAAGGTTAAATCCCAGATCTTTGGATTTAAAAAAAAACTGTTGTCCCTCTTAAATTTTCATTTACCTCCTTTATTTGACCTTACTCCTATCCAGAAAACACAAGTAAATTGTCTTTTTTTCTTCCTTTTTTCTAATTAAAAGATTGTTTTATATATTCAGGCTGGATTCAGAACAAAAGTAATTCTCACCCTAGTGTTGAATTTTTAATATGTGAAGCTCAAAAGTTTTGAGATTTTTGGTTCCAAACATTTTACTAAATGTTAACGTTGACAAATGAGTCACCCAAGTCTTAGTTCTTATCATTTAGTTTCTGATGAAAAAAGTAACTGGCTTTAACCACAACTTAAGGGAAAGAACAGTTGCTTCTCTCCTACTGATAAAAATTTCAGCACTATAGGCAAGTTCCCTTGATGCTAATATAGATATGGTGGGCCCAACAGACAGGTGGAGTTGGCAAATAAATGTTCATTTCTTCCTTTTATGACTCAATGTTATCATGAGGGAAATTGAGAACATTTCCACAACACAGCTGTGTGGGATTCTCCAGCTCGTCTATCAAGATAACACAGTCTTTTACTCCCCTGCAGTTTGGCAACCAGTGGAGAGCTGAGTGGGAGATGGAAGATTACTCTCGAGTTCTTAGCTCCACTTGAAGTGAAAGTCGTGTTTCAGAGTTTGCTACTTCTGTTGATCAATTCAAAGTCTCTGGAGTTATTTGCAGGTTACTCTAGCTAACAGAATCATATTAT